>NC_000007.14:115234051-115537082 GCF_000001405.40 Homo sapiens
CACCTACTACACTGCCAGATGTCACAGGCTGTGATGCACCCCTTCATTAATGGGCTGTGGATCATAAAAATAATTTAAATTGGATGGTGTAAAAATAAACTGGATGGTTAAAACGGGCTTGGTGTCAGTCATACAAGCAGCCACACTATACATTTTGTGCCTGAAGAAAAGACAGAATAGGCAAATTGCTGTTGGTCACATTTTGAAACATTGTTGAAACAGAAAATGTATTTATTTATTTAGTTTTTAGGAATAGCTAAATTCAAACTCTATTCCTAAGTTAGCTGGGTGTAACATTTACTTACTCATTTTTATAAATGAATGTCATGAGAAAAATTGCCTACATAGTGAGTTTTAATTATTAAAGGAGAAAAGTGAATGATGTGTGGATACTCCACGGTTGGAACTCTCAGCTAATATTTTTCTTACCTCTGATTCATGAAGGTCCATGTACAGCAATGGGTGCAATATGCTTTAAATGAGAAAATGTGTAGTGGACTTTTATTTTTCCTCATCAGGGGCCACATGATAACTTCAGAACTAGGACTGGATTAAAACCTTCAGTGGCGAAAGCAATAAAAACCATTATGGAGATTTCTGTCTCCACCTTCCCATATGCAATTAAAAAAAATTAAATTGCAAAATATGTGTAAGAAGGTTGAATGACATTTTGTTTTTCCGCCATGTTGTAGTTCTTTTGCTGGAAATATCAAATAATAAAGCATTCCTATTTGTCTTATTTTTTGTGCCCCTGTGTTTCTGAAACATTAGTCTCTTCATCAGATGATTCAGGATTTTCATTTGTAAAAGTACAAATTTTTTTTACTTCATTTTATTTTACTGCGCTTGTAACAACCACACTTAGACTTTACTTCTGATTCACAAACCTTATGTGATGCAGATTCATTTAAAAGTGGTGAGCCCTAACCATACTTTTGTTTATACTTTGTCTTACTCTCTTTCCAAACAGATACAATATGCTGCCTAGCAGCCAGGGTCTTCCCTGATTAAAACTCCTGAATAGTTTCCCATTGTAATGGTTATGATGCTAACAGCAATATTTATACATCATTTGCTATTTGTCAGGTTCCATTTAAGTGCTTCTGATATATTAACTGATTCGATACAGAAAATGAATCTACAAGGTACTATTATCTGATTTACAGATGTGAAAATTAGGAAACAGGAGTTGAATAACTAAAGTAAAATCACACAGATACCAAAATGGCAGAGTCAGCATTTGAACTCAGATTTCAGTTTTAAACTATATGTAAAATAAGACTTACGTTTTAAATTTTTTAATAGAAGAGAATGAAAATAATAATACTTGAACACTGAATCTCTCTCCATATTTTAATGTTCTTTTTTCTACCAGTTTTGTATTTTTTTGTATATCTTATCTATATTTAAAAATCAGATTTATATCTAAGTATTGAAAATTTTAAATTTTCAAGTTCCAATTGTTCTTTGCCAGCCTTTCATATATGAAATTTATATTCTGAGACCTAGTCATACTCAGTTATTGGTTCCAGGAGTTTTTGGTTATTGTTGATTTTGGAATTTTTACCATAGATAATCCTGCCATCTGTGAATAGACACAGTCCTATTTCTTCCTTTCCAATCTATAAACTTATGTTTATTTTTCTTGCTTTATTGCACTAGCTAGAATTTCAACTACAGTGTTGAATAGGACTAATGAGCAAGGACATAGTTGCCTTGTTCCTGATCTGAGGGAGAACATGTCTAGTTTCTTACCATTAAATATAGTGTTAATTGTAGGTTATCGGTGGGTGTTATATTGAGGAAGTTTCCAACATTCTTTGTTAGCTGAGGGTTTTTATCCTGAATAGTGTTTTATTTTGTCAAATCCTTTTTCTGTGTCAACTGATGTGATCATATGAATTTTTCTCTTTCATCTATTGATATGATGCATTACATGATTGATTTTCTAATGCTGAACTAGCCTTGAATACCTGGAATAAACCCCACTTGGTGTATAAGTATTTTGATTGGTACCTTGTTATCCCAAGGGGATTGATTCCAGGACTACTTTTGGCTACCAAAAGCCATGCATATCCAAGTCCACAGTCAGACCTGTGGAACTGCTGATATAAAAAGTTGGCCCTTCGTATTTGTGAGTTTTGAATGCCTCAAATACTCTATTTTCCATCCACCTTTGATTGTGGTTGTGGAACCCATGAATACGTAGGGACAACTGTATTTACTGCAAAAATCCTCATGTAAGTGAATCCATGCAGTTCAAACCCATGTTGTTCGGTGGTCAACAATACTCTTTTTGAAGAGTCATTCTTGAGGTAATTCAAAAAGGTAGAAATTTATTGTTAAGCACAGGAAGGAGGCCTATTTTAGTGAGTCTCTGCTAATCTTGGAGGGGTGACATTTATGAAGCATTGGTGACAGCCATAGCTCTTATGGAGCTGACATGGTTCCACCAGATGATGTAAGGTCTCTGCTGCTTTCTTTAGAAATCTGAACTTCAAATCACTGTCAAATTATACAATATGAAATTATACAAGTTTCAGAGAAATTTATAATCCTTTACCTCTTAGTTACATATGACAATGTATTCCAAAAATTATTCTCAGGGTAAAGGAGATAATGTTCAAGAAAAACAAAATCTCCCAGATTTTGGGAGTTTTACCTGTAAGAACATAGTAAAACCTAGAGAGAAGACATCAAATATAATATAGATAATACAGATTCCAGTGACAGTTATAGTGGAGAAAGCCTGGTACTACTCACTGTTTTTCTTTTTCTTTTTCTTTTTTTTTTTTTGTAGGAGGAATAATCACGAAATAACGTGAGACAAGGTGCCTCCCTGAGTCAAGCAGTGACCTGGTCTTACTGAGCTTTTGGGCTGAGCAGATATAGATATTTTCTCTCACTCTTACCTCCTCTATGTCCATCTATGCCTACCAGACAGGGGAGATTTTGAATTGATATCCACTACTATGCTTACACACAAGTGTCTGTAGACAAATGGAAAATTCACCAACTAACCTCCCTAACAGGAAAACGTTACCCCTAAGCTATTAAAAGCTTATAATTTATAAAGCTGCACCAGTTATTCTTGTGATTTTTTAAAATGTATCTATATCCAGATAGAATATAGCTGTGGGTAGATTCAACAACTATGTAGTGATAGTGTGTGAATAAACACTCCACCTAGGCTGTACTTATGTATGTGCTTATGTATGTGTATTTACCGAAACAGTACTTTTACTGCTTATTGGTGGTTACGTACATAAAACATATTGTATTAGCAGCAGGTCACTTTGTGTATATGGCTGTAATATAAAAAATAAAGATGATACATTCAATTTAGAGCTCACATTAAAATATTACCAAGCTTGCACATAAAAATAAAATTTTCAAACAAAATACAAAAACAATATTGCTCATGTAAGTTACCTCTATTTTGATATTACGCCCTCAGCCTTACACACAATGTCAGTATCTCAGTAACTTTATGCATTAGGCATTATTTTATAATTATTGGCCTCAGAACCAAGGTACTATTTAAAATATCCTGAGTGAATCATATATATTAATTATTTTTAACACAGAGGCAGATGCAAATTGAGATAGTTAATGTTCAGGAGTTGAAATATCCAAATTTATTATCATTGGCTGATTTACTTTGGTTATTGGTGTAAAATAACATTAATTGTTCCTGAGTTCTTATCTAATTGGGTTTTAAAGAAGCTTCTTACACTGTATTATATTTCCCTGTTAATGTGCATAATGAAAGCATCTATGTTGAAATATAGAAGAAGTATGATTGTAATGAGCAGCATTTAAACATCCAAGTTTTAGTTAATTTAGAATACAAGAAATATACTTGTAGGTTTCAGAAGGTAGAATGTATTATAATATTTTCCCTCCCTTGACTTTACTCACAGTTTTTGCACATGCACAAGTTCCCTGACAGTTTTTTCTTCCTTAATGAGACTTAAGAGTGGGGCTAAAGCATTATTAGAGGTCTGTCTGGACTGATTAGATTGCATATTACTAAAAAATTAAAGGATGAATATATCATTTTTAACACTATCAGTAAATAAATGCCAATGCAATTCAAATATCTTTTGAAATAAATAATTCTAGATGATTTATTCATCTTTCACAAATACCGTTCATATCAACAGGTAAGAACTGCCCCCATATGATTTAATATGATAGTAACAAAAAAAGATAGGAATCTGTTTTTCTGAGTTTGGAATTCAAACTTTGTTTCTTCTTAATGGAGATGAAACAGAATTATTTTCTCCTTTCTAGTCCAGTTTTTAAAAGATCTATCTGAAATATACTTGTAAGAATAAGGTAATATAAAGCAGTTCATTCACCACAGAGTTTTGTTTAGTGGGAATGAATACATTTTGATATTTTATTTACCTCAGGTATTTTTCCATTAAATTTGATTTTTAAAATATAGTCATCCCTCAGTGTCCGTGGGGGATAGATTCCAGGAACCCTGTGATACCAAAACCTGTGGATGCTCAATTCCCTCATGTAAAATGTGCATAGTATTTGCACATAACCTAAGCACATCTTCCCTTATACTTTTAATTATCTCTAGATTACTTATAATTCCTATTACAATGTAAATGCTACATAAATAGTTGTGATATGTATTTTTAAAATTTGTATTATGGTTGAGTACACAGATACAGAACCTGCAGATACAGAGAGTATTGCATAAAATATTATTCATCTTGATTATGTGATTTGGCACCTCACGTGTACTAAGGCACCTAAGGTAAGTGCCTCACTTGCCTTCCCTTGGCCCCAGGCCTAATTCAAACAATTCTTGAACACAGACTCCACCAGATAGTGGGTTAGGCTCTTTTACAGATTAAAACTGTCTCCTACTATAAAGTTGTACAACAAAGAGAGGGAAACGTTTAAAAACTATTCAGTATTTGGGTGCATCTGAAGTATATTTTAATTAGAAGTGTTTCCATTCCTTAAAACACATACTGGAATCGTGTAAGTTCTTAAATTAGCAAAAAAAAAAAAAAAAAAAAAAAATGGAGCATTACCTGGAGTTAATCCAGGTCCTAGTGATATACAATAGAAAAGAGAACCATCTAGAGAGTGTACTGCAGTTTCAGTAGCTTTTGTTGTGGTTGTTGGGAAGTCAGGGGTGAATTGATTATACAATCACATTATAGATTACATTTCAAACACAATATTCAGGCCAAGGACTCTTATTTTGCTTTTCAATAGAAGTTTCTATGTCCTTAGAAGAACTGAATAATTTAATTATCACATTTTAAAATCTGCTAATGATTAGTTTTGGTGACTAAAAACCAGAAAGAAAAAGTAGGCTTTTTATTCATCTTTAAGATCCCTGGTGAATAACCCAAAAGAGAGAATGTAGTATCTGCTTCCCTCGCTTAAGGCACTGGAACCCTAAGTCATGTTTGCATATTTTTTTGTGTGTGTGTGTGGTTTCCCCCTGTCCTTTCAGGTAACATTATTCAGTGTTGGAAAAAGTCTTCCAGCACTGAATTCTCAGTCACATAAATGCATTTTAAGAATTATATGTTATTTATTTATTAAAGCAAATACAAAATAAAGAGAACATTTTAATGACCCTATTACGGTTTCAATTGTATGTTCTTTCACTCTAGATTTTTCAGAGGTGGATGGACCTTGGGGATTGTTTAGTCTAGTTCTCTCATTTAATAAGGAGAAAGCTAAGAGAAGTGAGTGACTTATTTGAGGTCACAAAGCTAATTAATTGTGGCATCTAGATTGAAACATAGATCCTCTGGGCATGAGTCAGTAAAATCCAGGGTTGGGGTAAATGAGGGACAATGTTAAAGAACACCTCCAATCTGAAATCACTCATTCTCTCTCTTTTTTAAAAATCTTTTTCAATTAATTTTTTCAGGTAAAATTTATTCACAATGAATTGGACAATAAATGTTTTGATATATCTATATCCTTACATTTGGAGCAGTTCCAGCTCTAAAAAAATTTATCTGTGCCCCTTTGAAGTCAATTCTCATCCCCTATTTCTGAGTGCAGGCAACTACTAATAATTTTTTTTGTCACTATAGATTAGATCTGATGTTATAGAATTTCACATAAATTAGTTTATGTGGTATATATCCTTTTGTGTCTGAATTCATTAGTTCAGCATAATATTTTTTAGATTCATTCATGCTTTTAGCTGAGTTGGACTAAGTAGAATTATATCACCATATGTCTATCTATTCACTTCTTAGAACTTGAGGTCTTCATTTTTTTTTGGCTATTATAAATAAATATTATTCTATAAACATGAATTTACAAGCTTAGAAATACGGTTTCATTTCTCTGGTGTAAATAAATTGGAGTGGAATTGCTGAGTCATATGATGAATTTACATTTGTAGGAAAATGCTAAACAGCACCCTAAAATGGTGTTTCACATTCTCACCAGTGATAGAGGAGAGTTCTACTGCTTCATATCCATTAATTAATTAATATCCTTTAATTAATTAAAATTGCTACACATTTTCATTTTCTTCTAGTGGGTGTGGATTTTTATTTATCCTTTTCAAAATTGTTTTTAACTTTCTCGATATTTTGTATTTCCATATGAACTTTAAAATTGGATTGTCAATGTCCACAAAAACGCATCCTGGGATTTTTAGTGAGATTGCATGGAATCTATAGACAATTTTAGAGAAAATATACTTGCATATATTTAAAACAATTTATTCCTAAGAACAAATTTTATTTTTATTTTTTAAAATTTTATCTTTTAAACAAGACTTTATTTTTTAGGCTAGTTCACAGCAAAAAGGAACAGAAGGTACAGAGATTTCTCATATTTCCCTTCCCCCCACACACGCATGGTCTCCTCCATTATCAATGTCTCCCACCAGGGTGGTACACCTGTTGCAATTGGTGAACCTACATTGACACATCATTATCACCCAAAGTCCATACTTAACATCAGGGTTCACTCTTAGTGTTGCACATTCTGTGGGTTTGGATGAATGTACAATGACATGTATCCATCATCATTTTATTAGACAAGTAGTTTCATTGTTGTAAAAATCCTCTGTGCTCCCCCTCTTCATTCCTCCCTTCCTCTTAATCCCTGGCAACCACTGATCTTTTCACTGTCTCCATAGTTTTGTCTTTTCCCACAATGTCTTGTAATTGGAATCACATGTACTATGTAGGCTTTTCAGATTGGCCAGCTTTTGTTTTAATTTTTCTTTCTAATGTTTCATGGCTAGTGTGTAGAAATACAATTGATTTATGTAAATTGGTCTGTATCACGTGACCTTATGAAACTCCCTTATTAGTTTCAGTAGCTTTTCTGTAAATTTTTACATATACAATCATGTTTTTCTGAATAAAGAATGTTTAACTTGTTCTTTCCAATGTATATTTCCTGATTAATTTTCCTTCCTCATTTCAATAGCTAAGATCTGCATATTTCATTAAACAGAAGTGGTGGGAGTAGTCATCTTTACCTTATTCAAAGACTTAGAGAAAAAGTGTTTGGTTTATCACAGTTAATTTAGATGTCAGCTACAGTTTCCATAGCTGCTCTTCAAAATTTGTGAATTTTTATTTTCTTCCTAGTTTGCTAGGAGTTTTTTTTTTTAATCATAAATAGGTTTTGCATTTTTGTCATTTTTTTCTTGAATCTTATGAAATGATTATATACATCCCCTTAGTTTTTCAGTATGGAGAATAATATTAATTGACTTTCAAATGCTAAGCCTATCTTGAATTCCTGGTATCTCATTCAGTCAATATGCATTACCATTTTTATATATTACAGATTTAATTTTTAAACATTAGTTTTAGGACTTACATGATTTCATTCATAGTTGTTATTGCTCTGTAATTGTCTTTTCCTGTAATTTCTTTCTATCAATTTGATATAATATTAATGGCCTCAATAATGAATTGGGAAGTATTTCCCCTGTCTCTATTTTCTGAAAGAGGTTATGTAAGATTGGTATTAATTATCCCTTAAATATTTTGTAAAATTCATCAATGACCACATATGCATCTAGAACTTACATTTTTGAAGGCTTTTTAAAAATAAGTTCAACTTCTTTAAGAGAGATAAAGGAATTTAGATTTTCTGAAGCAATATATTTTTTCTTTCAGTTTTTGTAATTTGTATCTATTAAGACATTTATTCATTTCTTATAAATTACTAAAAATATTTCCTTCATGTCCAGTAAAGGTTTGAAGACCCTCTATTCTTGATATTAGTAATTTGTGTTTTTATACTAATTAGTATAGCTACATGTTTATCAATTTTATTGTTTTTTAAGGAACAAGCTTTGAATTTTATTACATTTATCTGGTTTTTTAATTTATTATATTCATTGATTTCAAAAATTCTTTTTTCTCTTCAATTTTGTTTTAATTTGCTTTTTTACTTAGTATTTTTACAGTGGAAACATCGAGTTTACTTTGAGATCTCTCTTCATTTTTAATATAAGCATTTAAAGCTATAAGTTCTGCTCCATTCAGCCTTCTCTGAATCCCACAAACATTCATTTGTGGTGTGTTTCATTTTCATTTAATTAAAAATACTTTATAATTTTCTTTGTGATTTCTCCTTAATCCATGGGCACATTGTTTGTATTTCAAAGTTATTAATAATTTTCCAGATATTTTATTTGGTTATTGATTTCTGATTTAGTTCAACTCTGATCAGAGAATAACCTCTATACAATTCAAGAATCTTATCAAATGACCAAACATTTGATTTATCTTGGTGAACAATCCATATGCACTTGAAAACAATGTGCCTCTGCCATTGTTCACTGAAATTTTCTATATATGTAAATTAACTAAATTTGTTTCATAATGTTGTTCAAATTTTTTATATTTTTACTTATTTTATTTACATTTGCCCTACTATTTAATGGGCAAGTAGTGTTGAGGCTTTCAACCTAATGATGGATTTGTTCACATCTCTTTAAGTTCTGTCAGTTTTTTGCCTTACGGATTTTGAAGCTTGGTTATTAGGTGCATGCTTATTTTCATTACTATGTCCCTTTGATGAATGGACACTTTAATCATCTGTAAGATTTCTTATTATATTTGATAATATTCCTTGCCCCTGAAGTCTATATTGCTAATATTAAAAAAGTTACTCTAGCATTCTTATATAGTATTTGCATGGCATACCTTTTTTCATCATTTTACTTTTGACTTACATATGTCTTTATAATTAAGGAAATTTTGCAGACAACATGTTGTTAAATCTTTATCTGGTATGGCAACTTCTGCGCTTTGATGGAAATATTTAGAGCATATATGTACATTTAGTCTAATTTTCTTTTTGGTGGTATTTAATTCTCCCTTCATGGTGTTAGTTTTATATTTTCTCATCTCCTTCCTTCCTTCCTTCCTTCCTTCCTTCCTTCCTGCTCTGTCACTCAGTCTGGAATGCAGTGACATGATCTCAGCTCACAGCAACCTCCGCCTCCCAGGTTCAAGTGATTCTCCTGCCTCAGCCTCCCATGTAGCTTGAACTACAGGCATCACTACCACACCCAGCTAATTTGTTTGGATTTTTAGTAGAGATGGGCTTTCACCATGTTGGCCAGACTGGTCTTGAACTCCTGACCTCAAGTGATCTGTCTGCCTCAGCCTCCCAAAGTGCTGGGATTACAGGCATGAGCCATAGCACCCAACCAACCTGTTCTCTGTTTCATTTTCCTCTTTTTTGTTTTCTTTTGGGTTTAGTATATTTTATTTTTATTTATTATTATTTTTTGAGATGGGGTTTCAGTCTTGTTGCCCAGGCTGGAGTGCAATGGTGTGATCTTGGCTCACTGTAACCTCAGCCTCCCGGGTTCAAGTGATTCTCCTGCCTCAGCCTCCCCAGTAGCTGGGATTACAGGCACCTGCCACCATGCCCAGCTAATTTTTGTAGTTTTAGTAGAGACGGGGTTTTGCCATGTAGGCCAGGCTGGTCTTGAACTCCTGACCTCAAATGGTCTGACTGCCTCGTCCTCCCAAAATGCTGTGATTACAGGCATGAGCCACTGCACCCCACCTGAGTATATTTTAATATTCTGTCTCATCAAATAGCTTACAGGCTTTTCCCCTTTATTTTTATTCTTCTGGTTGTTCTAGAATATCAGTTATCATAACCTGCTTTCAAATGATACTATACCAAGTCATATGTCATATAAGAATCTTAATGAAGTACATGTCTATTTCCACTACTCCTGCTGTTTATGCTTTTGTTATCACACTTTTAAAATCTACATATATCTTATGACTTTAAAATACTTTGTTGACTATTTTTTAGAAATTGTGAGTATAAAAAATTTAAAAGAAATATATTGTATATTTAAGCCATATTTAAATTTTCTTATGCTCTTCCCATAATGTACATCTGAGTTTCCTTTTAGGTAGTATTTTCATTCAGCCTGAAGAACTTCCTTTTAGTAAGTCTTGTAGCATGGCTTTGGTGGTACTATATTTGCTTCATTTTGTTTGTGTGAAAACATCTTTATTTTTCTTTAATTTTTGATGGATATTTCCTTTTTTCAGTGCTGTAAAGGGGTCATTACATTGTGCTATGTTTTGCATTGCTTCTTATGTTCTCAATTGTTACTTTTTAAAATTCTGCAAGTAATGTGTCTTCTCTAGTTGTTTATCTGTGTCATTAGTTTTAAGCAATTTGGTTATGGTGTGACTTGATTTTCTTTATGTCTTTCCATCTTGAAAATAAGTGGGCTTTTGGGATCTCTAGGTTTTAGTTTCATCAAATTTGAAAAATGTTTGACCGTTATTTCCTCAGGCAAATATTTTTTCCCTTATTTCTTTCTTCTCCTATTGGGGGCTACAGACATGTTTAAAAACTTAATGTTATTATGAAGCAGATTCACTGTGCACTGGTTGCCAGCTTGTCTGAGTGTAGTGAGACATAATACTCATGCATGCAACAAGTTACTTGAAATGGGTTTACTACTTACAGATAGGCACCAAGGGACAACAAAAACCTATGATTCGTTGTGAGCCAATCCCTCCCATCTCAAAATAGCTCCCCAGGGTGAAGGAGTCTCAACTGCATGTGGTCCACTTGCAGGAATTTCAGAAAGCAGCCTACCTTGGGTTTTAAACTTCAATGTAATGTGAATTGCTGGAAAAAGTGCTGAAGGACCTAAGTATGGAACTGGAATAGAGCCCAGGCTGTTTCAGCCCTTCCTTTCTTAACTCAAGATGTTGCATTCTCAGCACATTCTACAGGTATTATTGAGAACTGCAAGTAACAAAGGGGAGAGAACTATGTCAGTCTAAGGCTACATGTTGCAGTTCTCCCATAGATCACTAAGGTTCTGTTTTTTCCCTATTAACAGAGCTCCAGAGCTTATTTTGATTTTATCAGTTTTTCCATTAATGTATTTTTTTTTCTTTCCAATGATCCAATTCAGGTGTATTCATATGTTTTTCTGTTGCTATAATAGAATGTTACAGACTAGGTAATTTATATATATATATAAACAAACAAGTTTATTTAGCTCACAGTTCTAAAGGCTGGGAAGTCCAAGAGCATGGCACTAGTGTTTGGTGAGAATCATGCCATGGCAGAAGGGTGAAAGGTGAGAGTAAGCACACAAGACAGAAGAAACACGGGCTGAATTAACACGGAAACTAACCACTCCATCAATAGTGGTATTAAACTATTCATGATGGCAGAGACCTCATGACTCATTGTCTCCCAAAGCACCCATCTATTAACAGTGCCACAATGGCAGCCAAGTTTACAACATATAAACTTTCTGGGGACACACTCAAACCATAGCATTCCACTTTTGGACTCCAAAATTTATATATTTCTCGCATGCAAAATACTTTTATTTCACCCCAATAGTCCCAAAAGTCTTGACTCACTCCAACACCAACTAAAAAGCCCAAAGTCTCATTTAGATCAAATAAGAATATGACTCAAAACACAGTTCACCCCTAGATAAATTTCTCTGTCTGTGAGCTTGTGAAATAAAACCAAGTTACCTAATTTACAATACAGTGATGGGACAAGTGGAAGATAGTCATTCCCATTTCCGAAGGGAGAAATATGCAAGAAAAGAGGGATAATTAGTCCCAAATAATTTCAAAACCTGACAAAGAAAACATTAAGTCTTAAAGCTGGAGAATAATCTCCTTTCACTTTTGTCCCACTTTCTAGATATACTGGGGTAAGTGTTGGGCCACTATGACCTCAGGCATCCCTGCTCCTATGGCTTTTCTGGGCTCAGCCAAAGCAGCTCTGCCACACTGGCATTGCATGCTGGTGGCCCTACAGTTCTGGGGTCTCGGCATGGCCAGGCTCCCATGGCTTAATTAGGCATTGCCTCTTAAAGGTCACACCTCTTACTACCGTTACAATGACAATTACGTTTTCAACACATAATTTTAGAGAGACATATTCCAACCACAACACCGGGATATCATATTGCATTTGATTGTTATTATCCTCTCTCTATAGTCTCCTCTGGTCTGTGACAGTTCCTCAAGCCTTTTAAATTTTTCATGACTGACAGTTTTGAAGGGTATAGGTAAGGTTTTTATATAATATCCCTCAATTTTTGTTTGTTTGTTTTCTGCTTTTCATCATACTAGGGTTATAAATTTGAGGAAAGAAAACCTTAAAAGTGGAATATCCTGCTCATCATATCCTATCAGGTGTACATGTTATCTACATGACGTTCTTGATGATGTATTAAGCTAGTGTTTGCTGGGTTTCCCCCACTGAAAAATTAGTTTTTCTCTTTTTCTTCCTTGTTTCTTTTTTTTTTTTTTTTTTACACTCAAGAACTTTTTATTTAAAAGTCTTTCATTTCCCCCAATGAAGGGCATTGGTGTCTTTGTTTTTTTAAATTTATTTATTTTACTTTAAGTTCTGGGATTCATGTGCTAAACGTGCAGGTTTGTTACATAGGTATACATGTGCTATGGTGCTTTGCTGCACCTATCAACACGTCATCTAGGTTTTAAGTCTCATATGCATTAGGTATTTGTCCTAATGCTCTCTCTCCTCTTTCCCTCCACCCTCTGACAGTCCCCAGTATGTGATGTTTCCCTCCCTGTGTCCACGTGTTCTCATTGTTCAGCTGCCACTTATGAATGAGAACACACAGTGTTTGGTTTTCTGTTCCTGTGTTACTTTGCTGAGGAGGGTGTTTCCAGCTTCATTCATGTCCCTGCAAAGGAGATGAACTCATTATTTTTTTATGGCTGCATAGTATCCCATGTTGTATATTTGCCACATTTTCTTTATCCTGTCTATCATAGATAGGCATTTGTGTTGGTTCCATGTCTTTGCTATTGTAAATAGTACTTCAATAAACATACATGTGCATGTGGCTTTACAGTTGAATGATTTATAATCTTTGGGTATAAACCTGGTAATGTGATTGCTGGGTCAAATGGTATTTCTGGTTCTAGATCCTTGAGGAATCACCACACTGTCTTCCACAATGGTTGAACTAATTTACACTCCCACAAATAGTGTAAAAGAATTCTTATTTCTCCGCATCCTCTCCAGCATCTGTTATTTCCTGACTTTTTAAGGATCCGCATTCTAACGGGCGTGAGATGGTATCCCATTGTGGTTTTGATTTGCATTTCTCTAATGACCAGTGATGATGAGCTGATGAATACCTGAATGGTATTGTCTAGGTTTTCTTCTAGGGTTTTTATGGTTTTAGGTTTTATATTTAAGTATTTAATCTATCTTGAGTTAATTTTCATGTAAGTTTTAAGGAAGGGGATCAGTTTTTGTTTTCTGCATATGGCTAGCCAGTTTTCCCGACACCATTTTATTAAATAGGGAATCCTTTCTCCATTGTTTGTTTTTGTCAGGTTTGTTGAAGATCAGATTGTTGTACATGTGTGGTGTTATTTCTGAGGCCTCTGTTCTGTTCCATTGGTCTATATATCTGTTTTGGTACCACCACCATACTGTTTTGGTTACTGTAGCCTTGAAGTATAATTTGAAGTCACGTGGCTTGATGCCTCCAGCTTTGTTATTTTTGCTTAGGATTGTTTAGGCTACACAGGTTCTTTTTGGTTGCATATGAAATTTAAAGTAGTTTTTTCTAATTCTGTGAAGAAAATCACTGGCAGCTTGATGTGAATAGCATTTAATCTATAAATTACTTTGGGCAGTATGGCCATTTTCCTTCCTTCCTTGTTTCTTTAGAGTCTCTAAGTCCAACTCAAATTCATTTGATAAGGGTGGGAAGGACTTCTATATACATTATTTTGAATTTTTGTATAAGAAAGGTATTTCTTCTATCCCTATTTATTATTTGTTCATATTAATATGGTCTCATGTACATATTTTTACATTTTTGGCTATGAACAAAATAATATTTATTTTATGGCCAAAATTATTCCAATTTTAGCCATGAGGAATCCTTTCAGGTTGGTTCCTGTGTCCCTTTAACATGTCCCATCCCTTTATATTTTGAGAATTCTTTTAATTTTTGGCACTGCAAGATACTCCAAGCTCATTTTGTATTTTCCTTCCTCTATCGCTAGGAATAGCCATTTCTCCAAGGAACACTGGTTTCTTTTAATAGAGATTATTACTTAGAAACCAATATTTACGTTCTAGAATATTCATTTATGTCACTTTTTTCTCCCTATATGCTTCAGTTTACATAGCTTCCACTGCTATGTTTCCAATGTGATTGATACTTTTTTTTTCTCAGTGTTAAATATGCAGTCAAAGACATTAGGGACATAAATGAGATTTTTCTTTCATATATTATAGTTTCATCATTAATAGATTCACCATTGTCTTCTTAATATGTTCATACTTTCCTTTAAATCCTTGAACATTTTATGGTAGTTGTTTTAAACCACTTTTTGCTAATTCCATTATATCTGTCATTCCTAGGTCTGTTTCTACTGACTTTGCGCCTTCTGTTTCTGCATGTATTTTCACCCTTACACTCTTATCATTAGTTTGTCATTAGATGCTGTATATTATGAATGCCATATTGCATATCTGAATTTTGTTGACTTCCTTTAAAAAGATAAATGTTGTTTTGCCAGGCAGTTAAGTTAGGTGCAGATCAACTTAATCACTTCCTGTGTTTAAGCTTTGTAACATCTGTCTGGTATAGTGTTTACTTCAGGGTTTATTTACAACTAAGCCATTCTTTTATGGCAACTCTAAGAAATGCGATGAGTGTTCAAAACATCTTCACATTTTCTTGTCAGAACTTGAATAGTTGCCAGTCCTGTGTGTTCTGAAAATTGGTTGGTTTATACTCACTTGCCCCTGCCTGGCTTTGTGTACTCTCTGGTCATATGAATATTTTTGTATTCAGATGAAGACTCAAACACATTCCTCTACAGATTTCTGGAATATTTTTTCTGTATAGATTTATCTTCTCTGGTAATTCTGCTCCACAAATTCTAACCTCTTGAGACTCTCCAAGTTCAAATCTGTTTCTTCAATTTGGCAAGATTACTGTGCTCTGTCTGGGGCTTCCTTCTCTATATTCTTATTTGCAAAATGCTTCCAGGTAGAAAGTTAGGATATCCATAGGTTCACCTCATTTATGTTCTTTCTTTCATAATTAATAGTCCTGCACAGCCTATTGCCTAATTTCTGATAATAGCTATTTTAATATCTACTTTTTAGTTATTTATAGCAGGAGAAAACCTGATTCCAGATATACCATCAAGGCCAGAAGGGAAAGGTATTTTCAGTTTTTTTTAAATATTCTTATTTTGATTTTAGGAATTTATCATCCTTACATGTGCCATTTATCTATATTTAGGCAAGTAGATGAATGCGATGAATGTGAGAGTAAGTCTGTATTTAAAAATTAGAAAAGCAAACACTAACGTATATTTAACTGTGTTAGGTTTCCCTTTCAAATACATAGTTTCAAAAGGACAAATTTTACCTGGCATTCTTTAATTATTTGCAGTAAAAACCTCTGTAGAAGCAGCAGTCTATAATTCATGTAAGGTTTTTTTTTAAATTTGTTTAAATAAGTCAGTGGTTTAAAGCAAAATAATCAGCCCACTCAATACACAGACGTGAGTGCGTGTGCGTACACACACACACACACACACACACAGACTTTTCTTGTTAAACTGTCAGATATTTTCTTTTTAAAGATCCAGCTATTTGTTAGGTAAAACTGAATGCCAACACCTTTTAAAACATGATATTTTAAGCTGAAAAGTTAAGCTGTGGGAGTTTGGGAAACTTGCTTTAGCAATATAATTGCTTTCAAAAACATTTTCTAGGACTTGAATGTCACCAGAGGAATAAAAAATGAGGGTAAAAAAGGTAGACTATAATTCTGAAAGCAATAGGGGAAGAAAATTTTTTTAGTTTCACCATATTAAGTACATTGCTTCCTTTGCTTAGGCCGTGGCATTTTTTATTTTTTCCTTTTGTTTGTTCACCACCATTAGATAAGAACCAAAATTTTAACTATTGGCATTAAAAGCAAGAAGAAAATACTTGAATTCTGTTTGGTGATGGTTTAATTGATTCTATGCCTGTCCTTTAAGGGCACACTGGAATGGCAGGTAAGTCTGGCCTGTTAAATGCTGATGCGGTGTCAGGGGAATCTTGATCCAATTTTTCACTAGAACATAGTCTGACATTCTACTCCACTCGCCACTGTCAATGTCAGAGGAAGTGTCATTATTTGAACAATAGCATCTTCCAGAAGAAAAGACACCATGTTTACTTTTAAGAATGTCAGCCATTGTACATTTAGAAGCATTTTCTGGGGTTAGCAGAAACATATTTGACTGGACTAAAAGCAAAACTCCTCTTCCATGCTGAGTATCACAGATGCAAGACTAGAAGGACTTTTAAGAGGCTAACCAGCCTCATCTCCTGCCTTCAGGTAAAAGACAAGAGTTTTTTGTGTGTGTGTGGCGGGGAGGGGCTGGATTTTTAAAGTTCTCCATGACATACATTCTGCAAGTACTTTATTTCTTGGGGATTCAATAATTCCAATTTTGTTTCTCATGATTTTGGTTTGCTTTCTTGTGATATACATTACACCAAAAGAATATTTGTTGGCAAAAACACATTCAACTGCTTTGATCTCTAACCAGCAAAATTATATGCACAAATCCTATTGTTTGTGGTAGTTGGTAATGTTTTACTCCAGGAGTCATCAAACATTTTCTGTAAAGGGCCAGTCTCTGTTGTACTGCTGGCCATGAGGTCTCTTTTGTAACTTCGTTACTTTACTATGGTAGCATGAAAGCAGCCATAGAAAATATGGGAAAATAGTTGGCATAAGTGGGTTCTCATAAAAGTTTATTTACAAAAGCAGGCTATGGGCCAGGGCCTGGGGGCAATAGTTTGCTGATTCCTATTCTACTGTTTGGTCAAATCTGCTGTTGGGAAAGAAATGTAATCTTCTAACCTCTGCACTGTGGCACAAGAAAGAGCCTTGGGCCTTGATATGGTATGGATGTTTTTCCTCTCCAAATTTCATGTTGAAATGTAATTCTTAACATTGGAGATGGGGCCTTGTGGAAGGTGATTGGATCATGGGGTGGATCTCTCCTGAATGGCTTGGCACCATCCCCTGGTGATGAGTGAGTTCTTTCTAAGTTAGTTCACATGAAATCTGGTTGTTTAAAATATCTGAGCCCGGCGGTGGCTCTCCAAGCACTTTGGGAGGCTGAGATAGTAGAATCACTTGAAGTCATGAGTTTGAGATCACCCTCGCCAACATGGTGAAACCCCCTCTTTACTAAAAATACAAAAATTAGCCCAGCATGGTTGGAGGTGCCTGTAATCCCAGCTACTCAGGAGACTGAAGCAGGAGAATCACTTGAACCTGGGAGGTAGAGGTTGAAATGAGCTGAGATCGCGCCACTGCACTCCAATCTGGGAGACAGAGCGAGACTCCATTTCAAAATAAATGAATAAATAAACAAATAAATAAACAAATGAAATAAAATATCTGGTTGTTTAAAAGAATCTGGTTGCTTAAGAGTCTGGGGCCTCCCCCTTCTCGCTCTTGCCATGTGGCATGCTTGAGCCTGCTTTGCCTTTTGCCATGATTGTGTACTTCCTGAGGCCCTCAGCAGGAGCAGATGGTGCTGCAGCCATGCTGGTACAGCTTGATAACCATCATCCAATCAAAACTCCTTTAGTTAAAAATTACCTAGCCTTAGGCATTTCTTTATAGCCACACAAATGGCCTAACATGGACCCAGAACATTTCCTTACAAAGAGATGAAGATGGCTGCCTGTGCTGGATATAATTCTTTGCTTTCGAATATTTTTTCCTGTTCCAGACTTGATGTCTACTTCTTTGTTCTGCCTAAGTGTGTGTATCATATGGCACCTGGCTAACCCCATGGCTATATGTGGTACATCTGCTCCAGTGGAGATGGAATTGTCCTTGGCCTGTAGTAAAAGAGGGGTCAGTGCAAACCATCTTGTTGTGGTGGCTGCTGAGCAAGATCTGTTGGCCATGGGAGGATGATGTTCAGTATTGAAGCTGATCTTGCTCTGTTTCTTCTCTGTGTGAATAAAGTGTTGCTCCATCGAGTACCTGTGTGAGTCACGTCTTTCTTGGTGACCCTGACACTTGAAACCATGAAATGGGTAGACATGTCGGGACTACTGTTCCTGGTAGTAGGTGTTGTTATGCTGTTTGCTATCCTCTGTGCTGTGGTACTCTGTCTCCCTGGAGGTGGTAATAGGTACAACTTTGTCAACACCTACATTTTGTTTGTTTTTTACTACTATTTGTAAGATCCAATGTTTTCTATAAAAATGTATTTTCTAAATGTGGGATCAGGTCAAGAATTTGCTTTTGGCTAAACCTATTACTAAACTGTCCTACAACAGGCTAAGAGTTGCCAATGTCTATTCAGGGTCAATTCAGATTAGAGTCTTATTTTTCTTTGAGAATCCTTGGGTATTAGATAAAAAAAACCTATTACATGTCAGTTATAAAATGATTCTGAGTTATTTCACTGTGTCCCAGTACAACATTCTGCTGTTAATGAAGCATTCTATTATTACAAACATGGAAAATTAAATAAAAATAAATACACATAATGTTTAAAATTAATAGAATAACATTTTTAACTAATGACATTTATTAAAGTATTAAAAAGTAAACTTACTTTTATTCTGACCTGTGAAAATTTAGCTTTTGTGTCCTTAATTTCTGCTATTATGAGAATATTTTAGCAAGAAAATTTTTGTTTAAGAATATTAGCGAAAACTTCTACTTTTATATAAATAATGGTTTGGAAGGAAATAAGTGAAATTGTTTAGATTTAGATTTTTCCCCTTGTGTTTTCTCAGAGTAATGGTGAAATTGAAAAATAAAGCACTGCATAGTTTAGATTTTGCAGTTTTGAAGAGTTTCATTAAGACTTAGATTCTTATAGTAAGTTTTTACATAGTTACCTTGATGTAGACTTTCTATTTGAATCAACTTGTGAAATGATGAAATATTTTGAAAAAATAAAATATTGAGTGTATTTATTTGTGTTATTTAGAAATAGAAGAAATCATTTTGTAAGTTTGTTTAGAAATGTGACTATATGAAATTAAAAAGATAATCATCTATGCAACTTTTCATTCCATTTCAAGTTCTCTCCCTGAATTTCCAAGTTCCTTTTCATATCATGACAGGCAGAAGTGAGCATAATTCTGATAATACCTGTATTTTTATGTGCACAATAGAAGTAGACACTTAGATTTCTTTTCATTGAATCAAACAATAGTAATCAGTTCTTTTTGGACATGGTGAATATTCTTATTTGAATGAGGATTAAATTCTCACACTCTGTGTGGTTCCCTATGACAACTCTAGGTAAACCTTAATGAATCAGAGAGTTAAAACTTTGTGGCTCTAATGAAATAAAATACCTGGATCACAAGGAATTCAGGATATGTCATACAGAGATTTTATTCAATGACTTTAATGGAGAAACATAGCCAGTCAATAGTTTTAAAAATGAAAGAATAACATTAGTGTTTTCTTGCTCATTAAACAAAAAACAAACAAATTATAGACCTGATCCTTTTGTCAGAAAAGGAATATCTTTATTTGTAGTTGCATTAGCTCAGGCCACCAATGGATTACTTAGAATACCAGATGAGGTAATTTACTAACAGATCCTCTGTCAATATGAGAGAATAAAAAGACTTTATAAAATGAACAATGTATAATCTCATTTTCTTTGTAAGATGAGAACAAATGCGTGATATCATATTTGGAATATTTAGCCTTGCCAAAATCCTGACAAGCATTCATTACAATATTAAAAATAATTGACTTAAATTGTAAAACTTAACTACCTCTGTTTTTGTTCTATATTGGCAAATTGTTGGTAGGTTTTTTATATTTCCAATATATGGAAATATTTTTATCTTATGAAAAATAACACCATGATAAATGAATTAGAAAAGAACTATTAATTCTCCTTGTTAAAATAAATACATTGTTACAGTAAGTTCTGAATATATACAACAAACAATCTCAATATATTGCATCAGAGGAATATAATCATACTTTTCATTTAAAAGATTTGGTACTTTGTAAAAAAGAAGTGTTCTGTTTTTCATTAGGACTTCATCATTAATTACTTTATGTTACTTTCACCTGAATAAAGAGGATATAAATATTTCTTCTTAAATACAATATAACATAAGAATATTCTATTTTAATAGTATTAATCAAATCTGAATCACAAGGAATCAAAGCTATGGTTATACAGATATTTAATTCAGCAACAACAACAAAAATTAATTATAGCAGATCATCTGAATGACAGGAGCTGTCTTCGTATTTCCTGCACTTAGCACAGATCTGACCACACTAGCCATATGAAAAAAGATTTGATTTATCTAGAGATTTCAACTGGAAAAGTTGCATGCATTTAATTAGATCTATTTTTATTTATTTATAAAGGAGAAAAACTTCCTATTTCTTGTTCTAATGAATATTGCATGCTATAAACCAACAATCCCAAAACATGTTTGGAGGAATTTGGTTTCTTAAAATATAAAAGTTATTATTCTACTTATATTTATTATAAAATCATAATTTTATCAATAATAAGGGAAATTTTAAAAAATCTACAACACTCTAAACAACACATCCTTTGTTAATTCTTTGTTTTCATTTTTAGTTTATGTCTAGTCATTCTGTATATATAAAATATACTCTAAGTTATCTTAATACTCAAATGTTTTTATTTTTTCAATGACTTTCTAATCATTTTACTTCTAGTTACATTATCATTTTAAATAATTTTATGATGTATTTTGCTATTGAACTAAATTTGTGTTGCCTTTACCATATTTTATTTACAAATTTTATTAATTAATGTTGCATTCAACATTTTTGTGAATACAGTTTTTTAAGTTTTTGAATTATTTAGAACTTGCCTAAACTAGAAAAATTACCAAGAGTAGTGTGGTTGAAAGAATTATTATCTCCAACTATCTGCTCCTTCTTTGTGGAAGGATTATATGTCCATGTTCTTTTCCACAAGACTTGAGAGACCTTCCTAATAGGTAGGATAAAAAGTTTTTGCATCACTGTCAGAATTGTTTATATGACTTGTTTGGGGCAATAAAACATAAGCTGAAGTAACAGTGAGATAGGTCTGAGCAGAAGTTTTAAAAGAGATTATGTGCTTTGGGTTGGCACTTCTGTCATGAAAACAATGCTCCTCTTTGAGCTCGTGTCGTAGATTAAGAATGCTTGTGGAGCAGTTCTGCAGGTGGAAACAAAGCTGCAGTCTACACAGCAATCATGTGTTGAGAAAGAAATGTCATATTGTAGGTCACTGTGATTTGGGGTTCGCTTGTTACTACAGCTGATTGATAGATACAGGATTAGTAAATCAAAGTTTTTGATCATTATGTTGGCTCCTGACAGGTATTGCTGATTTGCCTTCCAAAAGATTTTGCACAAATGTATACTGACGCCAGCAATGTGTGGGTATATCAGTTTTACCATACCTTCCCTGTATCAGTTAGGGTTCAGTCAATAAACAAAAGGCAAACTAGGTATTTTTTTTTTTTTTTTTTTGAGACAGAGTCTCACTCTGTCAACCAGGCTGGAGTGCAGTGGTGTGATCACTCACTGTGACCTCTGCTTCCCAGGTTCAAGTGATTCTCATGCCTCGGCCTCCTGAGTAGCTGGGAATACAGGCGTGCACCACCATACCCGGCTAAATATATATATATATATATATATTTTTCTCCAATAGAGACAGGGTTTCACTGTGTTAGCCAGGCTGGTCTCAAACTCCTGGCCTCAAGTAATCCACCCATGTTGGCCTTCCAAAGTCCTGGGATTACAGGTGTGAGTCACTGTGCCTGGCCCAAACTAGGTATTTTAAAATGAGGGAGCTTAATATACACAATTAATTACACAGATGTTAGGGGAGTGAAAAGCTAAATGGGAAAGCTGAGATAACATAGAGTTAATAACTGTAGGACATAGCTGCCACTTCTAGCTCCCAATTCATAAGCTGAAGTCCTGTCCCTCAGTACCTCAGAATGGGCATGAATAGAGATAAAGCTTGTATTTTTATTTTTATTTTATTTTTTGAGATGGAGTTTTGCTCTTTTTGCCCAGGCTGGAATGCAATGGCGCAATCTTGACTCACTGCAACCTCCGCCTCTGGGGTTCAAACGATTCTCCTGCCTCAGCCTCCCGAGCAGCTGGGATTACAGGCACACACCACCACACCTGGCTAATTTTTGTATTTTTAGTAGAGACAGGGTTTCACCATGTTGGACAGGCTGGTCTCAAACTCCTGACCTCTGGTGATCCACCCGCCTTGGCCTCCCAAAGTGTTGGGATTACAGGTGTGAACTACCATGCCCAGCAGAGATAAAGCTTTTGAAGAGGTGATTAATTTCAAGTAAATTCTTTAGGGTGGGGTATAATCTAATCTGACTGGTACCCTTATAGAAAGAGGAGATTAGGACACAGACATAGCTATATTCATGTGAGTATACAGAGGGAAGAGGTGGGGTTTATCCAAACTTTGGAGTCAGAAAGGCTTTGCAAACCTTGAGCTTGACCATGAGTTTCTGAAGGTGCTTCTAAGGAGGTATGATGAGGCCGATCAGGAAGTGCTGAAAAAAGCCAAAGCAGAAAATGAGCATCCTTAGCTAATTCTGGTGGGAAGTGCAGGATTACATCAGCAAGGAACAAGAAAAGAATAGTTTTTAAAAAATGTATAAACTTTGTTCATTTGGGCTTTTTGCCCTCAGTTAAAAAGAAGGAACGAGGATCTTAGAGATGACAGATGTCAAACTTTTTAAATTTTCTTTATATTTATTTATGGGTCACTCAGCTGTTATATGAACTTCTCTATATCTAGTGACAGCCATTATCCTGCATTCCCCATTTAATTTTCTTCCTGCATGGTCTGTTTCCTTGAGGATGCTTTATCATGTCGTTTAGGTCTCCATCTTGTTACAGAGTTTTCTCAGCTGTCTGGTAATCTTAGATTGTCTGCTTCTGATTACGAATGAGAGTCTAAGGAGATGGTAGAAAGATCATAGTATTTGTATGTATATGGGTAGTGGAAGTTGGAAGTATTCCCTAAAGGGTGATCTAAGATGGGAGGTTTGCGGGCAAACACCCCCATCGTCGTTACTCTTAGGTGTTTCCTTTTGGGATGGTTTATTTCTCAGAGAGGAGTCCTCACACTCCTCTTTGGAGGATAACGGTTAGGCTAGCAGCATTCTGGAACTTGAATGGGGGAAGGGCACTGGAAGGTTTTACATTTAGCATTCAGTAGGTAAATGGTCATTCTATGCCTTCAATGGTTGCAATTACCTATGCTTTAATATCTTCTGAGAATAGACACTAGGTCTTCTTCCAGGTTAGAAGGGGAGGGAATAATATAGTCTCCAACCACTTTCATACAGTCTTCTTATTTTAACTACTCCCTTCAAAATCACTTAAAATTCCTAAGCTCACTGCTCATTATAAAGTACAACTCCAATCAGTTTAATTCAATGCTGGCATAGGATTTGGCTTTCTTTGTTCTATTAAGTCAGTTATCAATTCTCCATCTGCTTTTTAGTTTCTAAAATCATGTTACTATTGTCTTCTCTCATGTTCACCCAATTGTTATGGTTTTATAGTTTTAAAAAATCCTTTTCACAAAGTTGTGCCAGAGTTTTGAGAGGGATTGAATTGACTACAGTCTCTTTAGAACCAATTACAGTCAGGTTTCCTTTCCAGCTACTCCATGAAACTTCTCTTGTCAAAGTCAATGATGACCTTGACCTGGCAAAATCAATAGGTTATTTTTTAAATTATATTTTACCTGACCACTTAGTACTCAGTAGAGTTGATCACTCCCTCTTTGAAACTTGTTTTTTTCACTGGGTTTCCAGGACTCCACACTTTTTCTTTTTGTATAATTGATAAGTTACCCATTCTGTCTCTATTGTATCTTCTTCTTTTTCTTTCTGGTCTGTAATGATTGGAATGCACTAAGTTTCAGCCTTTGGAACTCTACTTTTTTCTGTCAACACTTGTTTTCTAGGTGATCTTATTCAATGCAGTGTCTTTAGGCCATATCCATGTATTAGTTTGCTGGAGCTACTGTAACAAAACACAGTCTCCTACCTACAATGGTTGAACTTAGATTTTTCAACTTTATGGTGGTGTGCAATACACATTCAGTAGAAACTGTACTTCAATTACCAATAAAACCATTCTATTTTTCACTTTCAGTAGAGTATTTAATAAATTACAAGAGATATTCAACACTTTATTATAAAATAGACTTGGTGTTAGGTGATTTTGTCTGACTGCAGGCTAATGTAAGTATTCTGAGCACGTTTAAGGTAGGCTAGGCTAAGCTATGGTGTTCAGTAGGTTAGTTGAATTAAGTGCATTTTCAACTTATGATATATTCAGATTATGATGGTGTTAATGGAACATAGCCCCATGGTAAAGTGAGGAGCATCTGTACCACAGACTAGGTGGCTTAAATAATGAAAATTTATTTCTCAGAGTTCTGAAGCTTAGAAGTCCAAGATCAAGGAATCACAGGTTTGGTTTCTCCTACAACATGTCTTGCTTGTAGATGGCCGCCTTCTCTCTCTCTGTACTCACATAAGTATGGCTGTGTCTGTGTCCTAATCTCCTCTTTTTATAAGAATACCAGTCAGATTGGATTATGGCCCACCCTAAATAACTCATTTGAAATTAATCACCTCTTCAAAAGCTTTATGTCTATGCTGAGGTACTGAGGGATAGGACTTCAACTTATGAATTGGGAGCTGGGGTGGGAGACTCAATTGAGCTGACAGTCTACCTATAAACCAAAAACTTTTAAACTTACATATCCAGGTGCCATCTTTCTCCTAAACAGCAGGCTTTGTTTTACAGTAGCTTTTGTGACTCTCCACTTGCAAATCTAATAAGCATCTCAAATTCAAGCTGTCTGAATAAGAACTCCTGACTTACCTTTCCCAAATTTTCTACCATTTTCTTCCAATTCAGAAAATGGAACCACCATTTACCCAGTTCTTCAGCACACCCATATCTAAGCCATCAGCAAGTTTTGTGAGTTCAGCATCAAAATCCGTCTGGAATCTGTCCTCTCCTGTTACTCTAAGGCAAGTCAACACTGGCTAATACCTGGACTCTTTTAAAACTATCTAACTGAACTCTGCTCCCAATGTTAAAGTGATCAGAGGATTTATACATTTTAAAAATGAATGTTGCTGAGGTGAAAAAGTTTTTGGATAGGATTTTTCAGATGATAACTTTTATTTCTATATTTAAATATGAAAATATGTTCAACCCTGTGTCTATACATGATAGTCAAATTTTCAACCAAACTTCATTAGTTGACTCTATCAAGATTCTTACACCCTTAGAAAGTAGGTAGGACTGGGGAAAAACAAAGACAGATTAGTTTTATATTTTAGCTTTAATTTCCTCTGTTAGATTTATATATATATTCTTCATTTACATATAGCCCATTTATACCTTAGGAACCTCAGCATACATTGAGGAAAAAATCATTCTGTATTAAGATTATATTCATATCCACAAATTTGTTTGAATAGTTTGACTGACGAACAGTCAAATCAGTCCAAAAATCAGATATCACTCTAAAAAAGTTGTCAGTTAAAAAAAAGTTAAGTATTTTCTTAAATGTAAAACTGTTATTGACTTGCAACTTTCTTTTTAGACTGGTGGCCTTTTTATTTTTTACTCTTTAAAAATCAGTTTCACAAAGGTATATTTTACATATAGAAATTTACCAATTGTAAGTGTACAATTTGATTTGTGAGTACTGGTAGATAGTTAGCCACTGCTACAATTATGACAATATAATATTTCCAACATCCTTAAATTCTCCTTATATCCCTCTGCAGTCAATCCCCTACCCAGGGCCCATCTCTGGCCACTACTTATCTGTTTTCTTTACTCTTGCGTTGCATTTTCTAGTATTTAATAAAAACTGAATGATGCAATATGTAATCTGTTGTTTCTGTTTGCTTTCATGTGGCAAGATTCTTTTGCGACTCATCCATGTTGGTGAATGTTCTAAAACCCACATTATATTGCTATCATTCCTGCTTTAAATAGTTAATTGTCTTAACAAAATTATTAAATGGAAACATTTTTATTTAGTTATATATTTACTATTTTTGGTGCTCTTCATGCTTTGTGTGGATTGAAATTTTTCTGCTACAATGTTCCTCCTCCCTGAAGAATTACTATGATTTTCTTATAATACAGGTCTGTTTGTGATTAATTCTCTCAGTGTATTGGCCAGAAAATATTTTTTATTTTGCTTTCATTTTTGAATGATATTTTTACTCCTTAAGAATTCTTGATTAATATTTTTTTTTGCACCAGATCTTTAAAAATATTGCTTTATTGTCTTTTGTACTGCATAGTTTCCAGCAAAAAATTGGCTGTAAATCTTTATCTCTTTCCTCGAAACATTGATGTCTTTTCTCATTTGGTTGCTTTAAACAATTTTCAACTTAGAACTGGTTTCAGCAATTTAACTATAATGTGTTTAGGAGTGGTTTACTTATGTTTATTCTGTCTGGGGCTTGTTGAATTTTTAGATGTATGAATTTATAGTTTCATCAGATTTGGAAAATATTTAGCCATTATTTCTTCCTTTTTTTAATTTATTTATTTTTTTTTATTATACTTTAAGTTTTAGGGTACATGTGCACATTGTGCAGGTTAGTTACATATGTATACATGTGCCATGCTGGTGTAACTCGTCATCTAGCATTAGGTATATCACCCAATGCTATCCCCCCCACTCCCCCCACCCCACCACAGTCCCCAGAGTGTGATATTCCCCTTCCTGTGTCCACGTGATCTCATTGTTCAACTCCCACCTATGAGTGAGAATATGCGGTTTGGTTTTTTGTTCTTGCGATAGTTTACTGAGAATGATGATTTCCAATTTCATCCATGTCCCTACAAAGGACATGAACTCATCATTTTTTATGGCTGCATAGTATTCCATGGTGTATATGTGCCACATTTTCTTAATCCAGTCTATCATTGTTGGACATTTGGGTTGGTTCCAAGTCTTTGCTATTGTGAATAATGCCGCAATAAACATACATGTGCATGTGTCTTTATAGCAGCATGATTTATAGTCCTTTGGGTATATACCCAGTAATGGGATGGCTGGGTCAAATGGTATTTCCAGTTCTAGATCCCTGAGGAATCGCCACACTGACTTCCACAATGGTTGAACTAGTTTACAGTCCCACCAACAGTGTAAAAGTGTTCCTATTTCTCCACATCCTCTCCAGCACCTGTTGTTTCCTGACTTTTTAATGATTGCCATTCTAACTGGTGTGAGATGGTATCTCATTGTG
The DNA here is from genome assembly GCF_000001405.40 of Homo sapiens. NCBI lineage: Eukaryota > Metazoa > Chordata > Mammalia > Primates > Hominidae > Homo > Homo sapiens. Next base: position 115,261,949 of record NC_000007.14, read on the forward strand.
GTTTTGATTTGCATTTCTCTGATGGCCAGTGATGATGAGCATTTTTTCATGTGTTTTTTGGCTGCATAAATATCTTCTTTTGAGAAGTGTCTGTTCATGTCCTTCACCCACTTTTTGATGGGGTTGTTTGTTTTTTTCTTGTAAATTTGTTTGAGTTCATTGTAGATTCTGGATATTAGCCCTTTGTCAGATGAGTAGATTGCAAAAATTTTCTCCCATTTTGTAGGTTGCCTGTTCACTCTGATGGTAGTTTCTTTTGCTGTGCAGAAGCTCTTTAGTTTAATTAGATCCCATTTGTCAATTTTGTCTTTTGTTGCCATTGCTTTTGGTGTTTTGGACATGAAGTCCTTGCCCATGCCTATGTCCTGAATGGTATTGCCTAGGTTTCTTCTAGGGTTTTTATGGTTTTAGGTCTAACGTTTAAATCTTTAATCCATCTTGAATTGATTTTTGTATAAGGTGTAAGGAAGGGATCCAGTTTCAGCTTTCTGCATATGGCTAGCCAGTTTTCCCAGCACCATTTATTAAATAGGGAATCCTTTCCCCATTGCTTGTTTTTCTCAGGTTTGTCAAAGATCAGATAGTTGTAGATATGTGGCGTTATTTCTGAGGGCTCTGTTCTGTTCCATTGATCTATATCTCTGTTTTGGTACCAGTACCATGCTGTTTTGGTTACTGTAGCCTTGTAGTATAGTTTGAAGTCAGGTAGTGTGATGCCTCCAGCTTTGTTCTTTTGGCTTAGGATTGACTTGGCGATGCGGGCTCTTTTTTGGTTCCATATGAACTTTAAAGTAGTTTTTTCCAATTCTGTGAAGAAAGTCATTGGTAGCTTGATGGGGATGGCATTGAATCTGTAAGTTACCTTGGGCAGTATGGCCATTTTCACGATATTGATTCTTCCTACCCATGAGCATGGAATGTTCTTCCATTTGTTTGTATCCTCTTTTATTTCCTTGAGCAGTGGTTTGTAGTTCTCCTTGAAGAGGTCCTTCACATCCCTTGGAAGTTGGATTCCTAGGTATTTTATTCTCTTTGAAGCAATTGTGAATGGGAGTTCACTCATGATTTGGCTCTCTGTTTGTCTTTTGTTGGTGTATAAGAATGCTTGTGATTTTTGTACATTGATTTTGTATCCTGAGACTTTGCTGAAGTTGCTTATCAGCTTAAGGAGATTTTGGGCTGAGACAGTGGGGTTTTCTAGATATACAATCATGTCATCTGCAAACAGGGACAATTTGACTTCCTCTTTTCCTAATTGAATACCCTTTATTTCCTTCTCCTGCCTAATTGCCCTGGCCAGAACTTCCAACACTATGTTGAATAGGAGTGGTGAGAGAGGGCATCCCTGTCTTGTGCCAGTTTTCAAAGGGAATGCTTCCAGTTTTTGCCCATTCAGTATGATATTGGCTGTGGGTTTGTCATAGATAGCTCTTATTATTTTGAAATACGTCCCATCAATACCTAATTTATTGAGAGTTTTTAGCATGAAGGGTTGTTGAATTTTGTCAAAGGCTTTTTCTGCATCTATTGAGATAGTCATGTGGTTTTTGTCTTTGGCTCTGTTTATATGCTGGATTACATTTATTGATTTGCGTATATTGAACCAGCCTTGCATCCCAGGGATGAAGCCCACTTGATCATGGTGGATAAGCTTTTTGATGTGCTGCTGGATTCGTTTTGCCAGTATTTTATTGAGGATTTTTGCATCAATGTTCATCAAGGATATTGGTCTAAAATTCTCTTTTTTGGTTGTGTCCTGCCCTGCTTTGGTATCAGGATGATGCTGGCCTCATAAAATGAGTTAGGGAGGATTCCCTCTTTTTCTATTGATTAGAATAGTTTCAGAAGGAACGGTACCAGTTCCTCCTTGTACCTCTGGTAGAATTCAGCTGTGAATCCATCTGGTCCTGGACTCTTTTTGGTTGGTAAACTATTCATTATTGCCACAATTTCAGATCCTGTTATTGGTCTATTCAGAGTTTCAACTTCTTCCTGGTTTAGTCTTGGGAGAGTGTATGTGTCGAGGAATTTATCCATTTCTTGTAGATTTTCTAGTTTATTTGTGTAGAGGTGTTTGTAGTATTCTCTGATGGTAGTTTGTATTTCTGTGGGATCAGTGGTGATATCCCCTTTATCATTTTTTATTGTGTCTATTTGATTCTTCTCTCTTTTTTTCTTTATTAGTCTTGCTAGCGGTTTATCAATTTTGTTGATCCTTTCAAAAAACCAGCTCCTGGATTCATTGATTTTTTGAAGGGTTTTTGCAGAAAAAAATATTTAAAGAAATAATGGCTAACCCTTCAAAACCCTAGCCATTATTTCTTTAAATATTTTTTTCTGCCTTCAACACCTCTTCCTCTAGGACTCTAATTATGAGAAACAGATAATTAATATTTTCCCACTGAATATTAATGCTTGGTTCATTTTGTAGTCATTTTTTCTCTGTATTTCATTTTGGATTGTTTATATTGCCATGTTTAGAAATGCACTGATCTTCATAATGTCTCATATACTGTTAATTGCATCCACTGTATTTTCATTTCATATATTATACATTTTTAAATCTCAAGATATTCTATTTTTGCTTTTTGATATATTTCATTTTTCTTCATTATGTACATATTTTCTGCTACCTAGGTGAACATATGTAGCATGTTCACAGTAGCTCCTTCAATGTCCTCTTTTTTTTGCCATTTCCATCACCTCTCTCATTTTTGCACTGGTTTGTTATTTATTTTTGCTAATTAGAGATCATATTTTCATGCTTCTTTGTATGTCTATTAATTTGTGTGTGTGGTTTTTTTTTTTTTTTTTGGTTAGACATTGTGAATTTTACTTTGTCATATTCCCTAAAATAGAGTTGGATTTTGTTCTGGCATAAGACTAAATTCCTTGGAATCAGATGGATGCTATCAAAGTTTGTTTTTAAGATTTGTTAGGTCAGGTCCAGAGTTGTCTGTAGTCTTGGGCTAATTGATTTCCACTATGAATGAGATATTATTTTGAGAAGTTTATCTAATACTCCATATTTTCCTATTTCTTTCCAATCAGGCCAGTGAGAATATGAACTATTCCCATCATGATATCAGCCTCTGGAATTGTTCTGCAAGCTCTTTTCCATTGGTTCTTTGCCCAGCCTAAGGTAGTTTCTCTCACATATTTGCATCTCAGCATAAAGCCAAAAACTAGAAAGTGTCCCTGTGTAGAATTTAGAGCTGTCTTTCTGTGTATCTTCCTCCTCTCCAGTAGTCTCTCCTGAAAAGCTATCTTGTTCTCCCAGAGCTTCAATCTCTGATTCCTTAATGTAGTGAGACATCTGGACACTGAGGGTCTCCTGCCTGTGTTGCTGCTTGGAAACTGCCTCCAGTAAAATTGAGGGCTTGCTTTATTTATTTATTCAGCGATCACATTCACCAATCATCTGTTGCTTAAAGCTTAAAAAATGTTCTTTTATTTATTTTGTCCAACCCTCTAGTTGCATGATGCAGAATAAATTTGGTCTCTGCTCCTTTACTTTGTTCAGAAGTGGAAGTCCTGTATATATTTAGCTGTTTGTTTGTTTGCTTGCTTGCTTGTTTTACTAGTAATCTATTAGTTTTAATAGAAAAGGGGTTTTGATAGTGTGGCATACATTACACAATCCATGCAATTGTTTGAATGAATAATTAATAGTTACATCATGAGTTGAAGGGCATATTATTCCTAAATATTTTTAAAACAAAATGGTGGTAGATGAAAATTAAATACAGCAACACATCAATTTGCCTTCAGGCTCCATGGAGGATGGATCCCCCCAGGCATAAAAGTTTGTAGAAGCTCCTGTCTATGAGCTTGTAAGACTTATGTAAGGTCTTACAACCTTACAACCTCCGCCTCCCAGGCTCAAGTGATCCTCCTGCCTCAGCCTCCCAAGTAGCTGGGACTACAGGCACACACGTGCTATCGCTCTAGTTTTCAGTTTAGCTCCCATCATGCCAGAGGGTGCCTCTTCCAAATGCATGGAGCTAGCGGGCTTCGCCAGAATGCTTGTATACCAGAGCAAAGGCTGACTTGGCTTTCTTAGTGCCCCTCATACATGTGTATCCATGAAATACTGTTCTCAGGCTGGAAAGATTTTCGCTCAACTTTTCTTCCTTCACCCTCTAATTTCCTCTTTAATTCTGTGTTTTCACAGAGGCGGGGTTTCGCCATGTTGCTTAGGCTGGTTTACTGATTTTCCTATGAAATTCCTGTCTACTTTGTTGATTGTCAGAAACTCTTTATGATTGGGATATTAATACTTTGTTGTTTTTAATATTGCAAATATCTTCTCTATCATCTTCATGATCTCCTTCATTGAAAGACAATTTTAATTTTTATCATTCAGACAATGAGTTCTTTTAAAAACTCTATGATACGTATATTTGTAGCTTTACTTAAGCCATTTAGTATATTCAGGATATGGAGAAGTCTCCCAGACTTTTTTTCTTCTAGCTTTTGAAGCATGTGATATAAGAACATTTTACCCTACTTTGTAAAAATATCTACTTTGGAACAAAGTGATAACCCACAAAATGTCTCGAAACTTCTTGGCTTAGTTAATGGTCATGATTTGTTTCCAATATTTTGTTATAAAACATTTCAAATATACAGAAGAACTGAAAGTATTGCCATGAATGTCCACATAGCCACAGGCCATATTCAAAAATTATAAACATTTTTCTATATTTGCTTTAACTATATATTTTCACTTCAGAGTAAAGGTGACAGTTTCTTTGAATTCTCTTGTGTCCTTAGAATATATGCCACTAAGGTTATACAGTCACAGCGTTCTGTTTAGACCACACTTAAAAAATCATTTTTCCTTCTCTGTCTCTTTGTTGTCATGTTATCAGTTTGGTAAATAATTGGTTTATTTGTTTCAGCTTGCTTTAGATTTTTAGACAATCTAAAGCAAAATGATAGTATGTTTCAAAAGTCAAAATGATATAAAATATTAGTGAAGTCCGCTCTCATTTCAGTCATCTCAACTCTGTCAACTCCTTTCTTCATAGGTGACCATTTTTATTATTTTTTGTTCTATCATTCAGTTGTTTCTTACAAAAGTAAGCAAATACATATTTTTCTATTTTCTTTCTTACACAAAAGTGTCATAAAATATTCATTGCTCTGTATTTTGATTTTTTCTATCCTAACAATAATACCCAATATCACTCCATATCAGCACACTGAAATCTTTTTCTTTCTTTTTTTATGGTCACATAATACTACATTATGTCCATGTATCATAGTTTATTTAACCAGATGGCTAGTAATGGACATTGGGATTATTTTGAATTTTTTTTCATACATGTAGAGGCACGTCTTCATGGTAGATTTCTTAGAGGCAGAATTTCCTGATCTAATGACATAGATTTCTTTAAGATAATGCCAATTCTATGGGAATTGTAACTATTTGCACACTATTCAGCAGTATAGGATAGTTTCTGATTCTCTGCAGCCCCACCGTTAGAGTGTGTTTTCAAACTTTTGGAGTTTTGCCAATCTGATAGGTGAGAAATTATATCCCATTGTAGTTTTAATTGGTGTTTCTCTTATTACAAATGAGGATGATTATCTTTTTATATATTTGACAGTTTATATCTTTTGGGAACCTCCTCTCCCATTCTGTCTATATGGCTGGGGAGTGCCTCATTAGGTTAAGTTAATCTGCATATCTTATTCCCTTCACCACAATGATTGGTTCAGAGAGAGACAATTGGCATGTTTTGAGCAAGTAAAGTCAGTTCTAGAGCAGGATTGTGATTTCTCTTGCAGACTACAGGATTGAGTCACATTTTATTCACATTCTTTACCTCATGGGAGCAAAGTCATTACTTCCCCTTTTTGCATTGACAATTTTTTAATACATTAAACAAATTATTATTACTTACTATATTTCTTAGTAAATTTGAACTATGTGGAAACCAAACAAGTATATTAAGTGTAAAGATTGATCAAGGCAAGAAGATAAGTTAACATTTTTGTGTGTGTTTTTGCTTATATTTTTATTTTGAAGGATAGTTTCTGTTACAGTGATTTAGTTTACTATAAATTTTTAACAAATGTCTTATAAAAATAATTATTTCAGCTTAATTTCTCTTTTAAAATCCAAAATAAGACATCCAGAAATGGTTTAGTTGACCCTTCAGTGATAATCATTTTAAAGAATATTGAATATTTTACTCACAACAAATAAAACGTGGTTTTAAAAATAGAAACTCTTACAAAGTTCTTAATATATTTGTTGTGAATATTAACTTGTGTAGATCATTGTCCTTTATGTCTTTCATCTGTAACATGTAGACAAAACAATGCATGCAGTAAAGGCATTGTGATTAAAAGTGATTTAGGCATTCTGGAAAAACCTTGCATTTAGTAAAATTGTACTTAGAGGAAAAAGAGGAGTGGGGTGAACTACTGAAACTCTAGGCAACTCTGTTTCCATATCACTAGCAAAAATAATAACAACTCTGAGAACACACTAATATACCCTAAAAGATATGTCACACCCCAATAAATTAAATAAATAACATGGCACTGTAGGACTTTATATTTAAAAACAGATGAAGGTAGCTTGTTGGAAGGAAATTTAAGAAAGCCTTGAGGATGTTTGAGACAAATGCAGAGTGCGCAAAATCAGGAAAAATCCAAATACAAATTTCTCCAAGACAAATCATGTGACCAAACTGAGTAGAGAGAAAGAATGCCAAATGGCCAGGCATTGAGTACAGCACTATATTCTGTTTTACTGGTAGTTACACTTAGAATACTTTGCCTTTTGCTGATGCTATATGTGACATGAAATAGTAATGTGACAAGAAAACTATTCTTTATACTAACATCATTTTTCTGTTTACTGAGCCACCTGTGAGCTAATTCCTGTTACAGAGACATATTACTTGAGAAAAGAATTACTTAATAGTCTACCTTGAACAAAATAACAGCTTAAGCTTCTTTCATCACTATCCTTATTTAAAATATGTATTATTTTGATAGTTTACTGATCACTAAGTTTATGTTTTATATATCTAAGGGATTTTTAGTACACAGTGCCAATTTGTCAATGAAAATCCATACAAGACAAGAGCGTGTGCATTAAAATATTTACATTATTATTGTTATTAAATATTTAGGAATCTGAAAAATATAGTTTACTAAATAAAAAATATAATGAATGTGAATACAGATCATTTTATTCAACTTCACAAAACTTAAAAGTTTCACAAACGTTCTGCATAGTCATATTTCTCAACATAGGGTATTTATCTTTATGCCAACATTTTCAAACCAAATCTTGTAAGAAATGACTAAAGTATATTAAGTTTGGCCTTCTTAGATATGCTTTAACATATGTTTACTTCTGATAACTCAAGTTAAATTATATAGCATTTTGCACCTAGAAAACTGTATGTGTAAAAATAGTATTCACTGTCCCCTCCATGTTCTTTGAAAGATTGTAAACAATTTTTTTTCTGAACATAAATGAATAAAAGAATAATCCTTGTCCATTGGGAGCTTACTGTCTACAATGGATGATAAAATTTCTGTACTATGTGGAGTTCTGTGGTAGAGTCAATACAAGCTGTCCCAATAGAGATGGTGAGAATCTATGCTTGCCTGAGTGGTGCATAGCAAAAGACTTTCCAGAAAAGATCATGCTGAGGCTAAATGATAAGATAAAATAATAGAGTATGACAAGAGTAGAGAAGCACATCCAGACAGAAGGAGATGAGTAAGAACTTGGCAGAATGCAACTGGACAATATTTCTGCAAGGTTGCAATGTAAACTAAATGGGAGAGTGGAAGAGTAGAGGATGAAGCAGGAGACATAAAATCGGGTCACAAAGTACCTAGTGTGTCAAACAATTGCACTTACCCTAATAGATTTTGGGCAGTGAGATAGTGTGTCAGTTGGATGCCTCTGGCAGGTAGGTGGAAAATGTATTATGAGTAAGGAAAAGACCCTGAGAACTTTAGCACTTTAAAAATATTGCTATTATATAGTTGTGACTGATCACAATGTAAAAACTAATAATGATTTTACATTTTTTTATTAGATATATTCATTACAAATTAATTAAGCATATTCATTATCTCTTCCTAAACGGATCTTCCTGAGGGAGAGTATACCTTACCCGTATATATGTATGTATGTATGTACCTTTATAGAGACAGATTCTCCCTTCGTCTCTCAGGCTGGAGAGCAGTGGCAGCAAGATCATAGCTCACTGCAACTTTAGACTCCTGGGATCAAGTGATCCTCTCACCTCAGCCTCCTGAGTAGCTAGGACTGCAGATGTGTGATACCACACCTGACTGACTTTACATTTTTGTAGAGATTGGGGTCTCCCTATGTTGCCAAGATTTGTCTGGAACTCCTAGCCCCAAGCTATCCTCCCACCTTACCCTCTCAAAGCACTGGGATTATAGCACAGTGCCTGGCCTCCTTACTCATTTCTATGGGTAATAATAATGGTTACTATTCAGAGATTGCATTCTGTTTTCTAGACAATGTGGAAAGAACTTTGAATATTTCATCTTGCTGAATTCTTGTAATATGATTCTAACTCTTAGCTGTTAATGCCCTCACAGCCTTTAAACCTTCCCATCTGAGACTCTAGTCATTATGGGGCAGAGAACATTCATTCTTTCTCCGACTGTTCAAGCTCCAGACCTACACAATCCATGAGCATAGTAAAGTGGATGTTTTATGATACTAAGTTCTGGGGTAGTTTGTTACGCAGCAATAGTAACAGAAAAAAAAAAGGAACTTTCATGTTTTGTACTTTAAAGTTTTGAAGAAGAATCTATCTGTGTAGCATTGTTATCAAAGTTGGATAATCTTTAGATAGTTATTTATGCTTTTTTCTGTATTTCTACCTAGTCTTTCCCCTCATTCACCTAAGTGGCAAGTTTCTCAGAGGAGATATATGGCTCCAGTGTTAATATCCATCTGACCAGCTCTGGTCAGTGGGGTGTCGTCTTACATCAGAGGCTACTTTTCTCAGAAGAGGACTGGGAGAATAATTATGTGACAGTTAAATGTTCACAGATAGTCCAGTATAAAACACACACCTTTGTTAATTAAAAAGTAAAAGCTTTTTGGAAGATTTTAAAATAACATTCAAATCTGTAGGTTATAGGCAGCTTAACTCCTGTCACTAGAAGATACTGACAAGTAGATCAATGGTAGATTACATATTATAACAAGTAGAACCCAAAATGTATAATGGTGCAAACACAATATAAGTCTATTTCAAGCTCATGTAACAATTTTTGATAGGAAGGTAAGTCAAGGAGCTGTCTCTTCCATGCAGTCATTCAGGGACCTGGACTGCCAGAGACTATAATTTTCAACACATGCCTTTCAAGCTGGAATAGGAGAAAATTTAAGGAAGCAAGCCAAGGGAGGATTTTATGGGCCCAGGTATGGGTCTGAAAGTAGCAAACATTACTTCTGACTATACTTCATTGGCTGGAACTAAATAATATCACCACACTGATTTTTAAGAGAGACTGTATTATAGCCGTGTACCCTGGAAAAAATGAAGAACCTGGACTTCTTCCTGAGTACACAAAGGACTTTGGCAAGCTGTAACAGTCTCTGTAACAAACACAAATGATACATTTAAATTTAGTGTATTTACTGATAGTAACTTTAGACAATTAAAATAAAATTGAAGTGTCATTTCATAACTCTTCTTGTGTTTTCCTTCCTTATTTGCTCTGTTATATCCTTGACTAATGTCTGAACTGATTCCGCTCCTACCCTTACCCTTTTCAAGATGTAAAACTGAGAACATTTCTCTAATCAGAGTTTTTATAGCATAGAAAGATAATTCAAAATGTGACTGCAATAAAGAAAGGCATAGGTGCTGGACTTGAGTGGCCATTCTCTGGTTGACTAGTTAGCTAAGGGATTACGCTGACATGACATTTTATCTCTTTCTCCACTGCATTCTTTTTGTGGATTGAAAAAAATTCTGTGCATATTTTTTCTTCTGTCCTTGTGCTTTATTTAAACTCTTTACCACAGAGACAATTTGAACTGATTGATATGTGTGACCACAAATCAGCACAGGGCATATCTGGGTTGGATGAGAAAACCATGAGCAGGAATTCCTAAATACTGATGCACACAAAGTAAAACAATCTAGTGACTTCTTTGTTTTCAGGTTTTTTTTGGGGGGGGGGGTATAGAAATGCCCTTCCTTTTATATATAATGTTTACAGGAAACTACACGTATTTAAATATATATATAGATTTTATATTTAAAATGTACATGTATATATTTAAAAATATACATATAGTTTGTCACAAACTAATTTTTCTAGCAATGCTTCTCCACCCATACCCAGAGATTTAAATATGGCAAACAGAAATTTACAAATATCCTCCCAAAGTTTTGAAATATTTCTGTCCTATGAAAGCCAACATTTAAAAACTAGTGGCATATTAAAACCAACTTATTAAAAAAGGTTTGTCCTTGGGCAAGCCCAGGTCTTTGCCTTGTTTTTACTATCATTCACTTACCTTTCTGTTGTGTTTAATTACTGGGGCAGTGGGAGTCCAAATATTAAAGCTTTTATTTAGAACACCACAGACATAAAAACATTATAATTTTCATGTTCACATCTCTTTAATAACATTGTTTGTATGCTGTGTAATATTGATGCTTAATAAGAGTAATGTCAAATTACTTTGCTTAGTAAAAATGGAAAATATTGCTGTTATTGTTTTCCAAAAGATATACATAGTTTCATTTACGGTAACTCTAAAATGTAAGTAGAGTTTTTTTTTTTAAATTAAAATATATAATTTTAAAATACTCTATGCATGTATTTTGAATGAAATCATCTCTTAAATTGATGTCAAGGACATCTATTAAAGTTGGAAATATTAGAAGATTCTCTTTTGGTTTGATAATGTTCAAAGTGCTTTTACCTTTGAGCAAAATAACTGCGTATTGAATAAAAATCACATTTTGAATGTCTGAATGATGTTGAATTCTTTGCAGCTCAGTTCAAATCTGAAGCAACTACACAAATTACCTTCAGTTTAAAAGTTAGCTAAATTCAGAGCTTCCGATGTATATTTTAATAATACAATGTTGCGACCTTAACGAGGACTGCATTTGTCTTTAAGTCCACATGATAGCGAAAGCTTAATATTAAAAAAAAAAAACTTTTGTCTAGCAAAAGTGATTTGAAGATGTTTTGCTCCATGCATGTGAACTCAGCAGGTGATTCTTGCCTATCTTTGATGTCAAACAGCACAAAACTTCAGTGAGTAGTAGCTTCAGAAATGCAATAGACATAGCTGAGTCTTCATATGAAGCTTATGCTTGAACTACATCAGAAGAACTGACATCTATTATGGTGAGCAAAGACAAGTGTTTGAAAAGAGATTCAAACAGAAGTGTCAGAATTTACAGTGCATAGTTTTATATAAGTTGATTTTAACCAAGCATATCTCTATGAACTCTGCAGGATAGAAAAGAAATTTCAAAAGGCAGAGAAATTGTTGTCATCTAAGGGCATGGAATGTTTTAATAGCTTAAGGAAGAACATTTCTGAAAGGTTATGTGGTGATCCATTTACTTTGACTGAGTAATAAGACTTGTCATTGTGATAGTGCAGTTTTTAACCCTTAGAACAACAGAAATGTATGTGAACCAGAGAGCTTAAAGGGATGCTTGAAAACTCAGAAGAAACTTGAAGTCCATTTTAAGATTCAGTTTTTAGTTACAGATGCTTACTGTAAATTTTCTGAATATAATCTAGCCGCTAAGGAGAAAACAAACAAGAAGCAACAAAGTCCATTTTTAGATCTAGTGGATCTTACTGACCTGCACATAAATAAGGCAGAGAAAATTCAGTTGTTTCCAAATTAGTGCTTTTCAAAATAAAACTAACATTAGTGCTGTTATTTTTGTGTGTATGTGTGTGCTCACTTTTATTCCCAACACTGCACGGGCTTTGTGAACATTATGAAAATAATAAGTGTGTGTTTGCATTTGTGAGTATGAGTGTAGTGTGCGGCATGCTGCAGAGCAAGGTGGGTGTAACTGTTAGAAACCTCGATTGGATAAAGTTTTGTTTGAAATCGTGTTGTAAACGGCCGAGGGCGGTGGCTCAAGCCTGTAACCCCAGCACTTTGGGAGGCCAAGGTGGGTGGATCACTAGGTCAGGAGATCAAGACCAGCCTGGCTAACACGGTGAAAACCCATCTCTACTAAAAATACAAAAAATTAGCCATGTGTGGTGGCACAGACCTATCTTCCCAGCTACTCGGGAGGCTGAGGCAGGAGAATCGCTTGAACCTCGGAGGCAGAGGTTACAGTGAGCCGAGATTATGCCACTGCACTCCAGCCTGGGTGACACAGCAAGACTCTGTCTCAAAAGAGAAAAAAGAAAAAAAAAAAAAGAAATTGTGTCGTAAGAGTTTAATCACAGCAGTTCCCCAAAACACTCTCTGGGGATCTAGTGTCACAAACTAATTGTTTTTCTAGCAATGTGTCTCTACCCATACCCAAATAGATTTAAACAAAAGTAAAACTGCTTGGCTAAAGCACAGAAGCTCAATTCCTATGCAGCATTTTCCAGATTGTAATCAACATTTAGCAGTGTGAGATCTACCTCTTCTTAACCTAAAATTAGTACAATTAATGCACCACATGGCAAACCATTTGTTTGGTTATTATATGCTAGTGTTTGCTTTTAACAACAAATTTCCTTCCCTAGATTAGCTGCTAAAGCCTCCTTCCAGGAAAAACAGCCTGGCTAGTCAAATTCAAATCTGTCACTCCCTTAAGTGCCACATCTCAGTTCTTTTAGATTTAATTAACAAATGTATTATATTGCATTTAAACAAATACTTTCTCCTTCTAAAGTAGTTTAGATCTTTAGAAGGGAAAGAGTAGCACATGGCAAATGTGGGCTGGGTCAGCCTGATTATGAACATATCACATAACACATGATCCTTTCTTTTGTGTTACCTAATACAAATTAAGCCACGGAAAAGTAAATTTAACAAATACTTATTAAGTATATATGTTCTACAAAGCACAGGTATAGTACTGTGAAGAATTTTTAAAAATGATACAATAATACTAAAATAACCACCATTCATTAAACTGATACTGAATTAGCTCCTCCTATCCAGTTGCTGTCTATTTCCTTCATAGCACTTATGATATCGGGTGATTTGTATTTCTTTACATGTTTAATGTCTTTCTACCTTTTCTTACTTATAAACTCTAAGAAGGTGGGAATCTTATAAGTCTTCCTTTTTGCCCTGTCTCCAGTGTCTAGCAGAATTCCTGATACAGGAATTCTGTATGGGCAGTAACATTTTTGTAGAATACATTAATAAATATGTTAAATGCTCTATATTCATTATCTCATTTAAGCATCACAATAGGTTCATATTGTTATTATGACTTTGTAGATGTGGAAACTGAGCCTTAGGCAGTGTTGCGTGATTGTTGGAGGTATAATTCAAACACAGGTATGTCTGACTCCAGTACCCAAGATGGTAACTTTTTCACCAGGTCAATCAGGAGGCTTCATAGTAGGTTTTTGTTGCTGAAACATAGTCCTCAATAAATGATGCGAGGAATTTATAATCAGGGAGATAAAGCTATACATAAATAAATCATAGAATACAGACTGCAAATTGCTATAATAGAAATGCAAAATTACTATAATAGAAATATAAAAATCAATCTATGAATGAGGAGAATGTTAATTAATTAATTATACTTTAAGTTCTGGGATACATGTGCAGAACCTGCAGGTTTGTTACATAGGTATACACTTGCCATGGTGGTTTGCTGCACCCAACCCATCATCTACATTAGGTATTTCTCCTAATGCTATCCCTCCCCTATCCCTCCACCCCCTGACAGGCCCCAGTGTGTAATGCTCCCCACCATGTGTCCATGTCTCATTGTTCACCTCCCACTTATGAGTGAGAACACGCAGTGTTTGGTTTTCTGTTCTTGTGTTAGTTTGCTGAGAATGATGGTTTTGAGCTTCATCCATGTCCCTGCAAAGGACATGAACTCATCCTTTTTTATGGCTGCATAGTATTCAATGTTGTATATGTGCCACATTTTCTTTATCCAGTCTATCACTGATGGGCATTTGGGTTGGTTCCAAGTCTGCTATTTTGAATAGCGCTGCAATAAACATATGTGTGCATGTGTCTTTATAGTAGAATGATTTATAATCCTTTGGGTATATACCCAGTAATGGGATTGCTGGGTCAAATGGTATTTCTGGTTCTAGATCCTTGAGAATTCTCACACTGTCTTCCACAATGGTTGAACTAATTTACATTCCCACCAACAGTGTAAAAGTGTTCCTATTTCTCCACATCCTGAGGAGAGGGTTAATTTTAATTAACGGAGGGGGATCTAGGAATGTTTTCTGGAAGTACGTGATTGATTTCCTATATTTTATTTTATAGTTTAAAACCTTCCATTTGGTGTTTTACTAATAACATCTCTCTACTGGAAAGATTTGTTTATATTTTAATTCATGTGGACAGATTTTTCTTTATGTTACTGAACAGTGCATTGATGGCTGATTTAAAATCCTATCTGGTAATTCCAACATAAGGGTTATCTCAGGATCAGTCTTTAGAAAATGGCTTTTCTTTGGAAAATGGGTCATATTTTCCTATTTATATGCAAGTAATTTTTAGTTATATTGTGGATATTATGAAGGTTATGTTTTGGAGATTCTGGATTTGATTATATTCCTCCAAAGAATATCGATAATTTTTCTCTGGTTTTGCACGCTATGAACTTTTTTGGACTCAAACTACAAACTCAGTCTCTTGAACATCAGCTTACATCTCAGTTCTGTTTCTTTAGCCTTAGCTAGACTTCTTGAGTTTGCCCATTGAATAATTTGTTTACGATTCAGCCAGACAGAGATTTGCTCAGAGTATACACAGAGAATTAGAGTCCCATTTTCTCTTGCTTGGCTTCTTTCCTGAATTCCCTCTAATTTTTGATTGCATGTGGCTACACTGAACTCTATATTGTGGTTCTAAACCATAATTCCTGTGCATTTTTCTGTCAGAATTTTAGCATCTGCATGCTACAGACTGGAGCTTATCCTCTGGCTGGCAGCTATAAAAATAAGAAACTCAGCAGCTGCTGTTCTCTTCCCCCAAGAGCCAATGCCCTTCAGACTTTGCCTGCTTTTGGTTACTCTTCCATGCCTTTGGGTAGTTGGCTGTTTATTTTTGTGTGTCCAAAGTTAATAGTTGTTGTCTGTGAGAGGGTTAATTTGAGAGCTTGCTTGGTCTTCAATGGGCACAGAACCTTATTTAAACCTATAAGATTTAAATATCCTTAATAAGTTTTCCATGGACAGAAATGTAGCTGGCTGATGATGGTGGTGGGTGTATATGCAAAAGAGAACTTTTATATCATAGGAACTGCTTGTACAATAGTATTAGAAATAAGGATCACAGCATACTGAGTTTGCAGCATTGTGAATAGGTCAATGTAGGTATTCAGTTGTTTTCATTGCTGTAACTGTGTAGAAGAATGTGGGTACCTAAGAGGGGTAGGTAAGTTAGACAGGAGGGGAAGGGTGAAAAGTCACTTTCTGAAATGCCAGGTTTGGACCCTAATCTTTGGGTAGTGTGTAGCCATAGAAGATTTTTGTGCACAGTGGAGAGGTGATCATATGTCTTAGGATAATCACTGGCTGCAGTACAGAGGATGAAATAAGGAAACCTTTCAGGAGGTTATTAAGTAATCCAGACAAAAGGCCAAAATTGAAGCAGTTACAGCATAAATTCATCTAAATTAAGCAAATATAATTAAAGTTTAGGAATATTTTTCCATACATATGCTCTGTAATAGTTAAAAAGACATCTAAAATAAGATCTTGTCACCATGGGAATCTAATTGTTAGAATATTTTGATTGATATTAAATCAGTCATAAAACATTTATGCATTGTAATTTCAACTTGTAACTGAAAAATATTAAACTCCTTTGCAAATTTAAACATTAGATGTACTTAATTGTCAATTAATTAGCATTAGACTTGAGAGGGTAAGAGTGAGAATCAACTGACATTTATGAATTGCTTATGACATGCCAGGCATATTATCATCTTCAGTGCTTATTGGAACCCCTGAGAAATAGTTATTTTTATTCCTATTTTATAGATGTGGAAATTAAGGAAGCATAGAAGTTAAACATACCCTTTGCAAGTCATACTACTAGTAGGCAGAAAATCTATTAAAGTCCTGGGCTAGATGATTCTAATGTTTATTCTGTTTTCAGCATAACTTTACTTTTAAAACTGAGATACTTAATGTACAGAGAAGCTATAATTCCTTTTTTGGAAGCAACTTACATTTCCCTCCTTCTTCAGTGTTCTTTGCTAAGTATTTCCACAATGAACATGAATTCTTTGGAAGTACAATAAAAAGAGATGGTTCTTAGGAAACAATTTTTCAAGCCTTTTTATGTAGAAGAAAGTTGGTAGACAATTCTTTTTTTTGTGTTTGACAAGGTCTCGCTCTGTTGCCCAGGCTGGAGTGCAATGGTACAATCACAGCTTACTGCAGCCTGGAACTCCTGGGATCAAGCAATCCTCCGGCCTCAGCCTCCTTAGTAGCTGGGACTACAGGCGTGGGCCACCATGCCTGGCTAATTTTTTTTTTTTTTTTAATTTGTAGAGATGGAATCTCACTATGTAGCCCATGCTGGTCTCAAATTCCTGCCCCCAGCGATTTTGCAGCCTTAGCTTTCCAAAGTGCTGGGATCACTGTTATGAGCCACTGCACTTGGCAGAATTAATTCTTAATAGAGTAAAATCTGAAAGAACAATAATCTTAATTAGTAGTAAAAATACATGAGATGAAATAAGTGATCTTTATTCAGGTAACCAATTATTCTGATTTTTTTTCATGAGTTGACGAAGATAACTAAGGACTACCTGGAGAAAAGATAGCAATTTTTAGGGTGAGTGTTTTTAAGGTTATATTTTCATATGGGGGAAATGTAAACTGACAAACCATTTAGTCCTTCATAAAGCCTTTAACTATACTAAAATCTAAATGATCCTTGAAGATATACCTCAAATTTAATCTTATTACCCTTATTATGATTTTACTATTTGACCGGTCATCTTCCTCTTTCTAGCGGACACTTTCCCAGATGACTGGGTATATTTAAGGAGTGTGGGAGGCTGGAGAAAGAGTGTCCTATGATTCTTATACAAGAGAGGATACTGGGAGCATGGGAGAAGTTTCACCTGTGTCTTATTAAAGATCTGATTCAAACCAGCAAAAGGTGGTTTTGTTATTATTATTGAAGACTTCTCAAATTTTGGGCTTGCTATAAACTATTTTAACAATGAGACTTTAATGAAGACTAATGCTGAAAACACTGGCCATTTCCAGATTCAGCATGCTGTGTTGTGTGCGAAAAGAATCACATAAACAAATTCAGATTTTAGTTAGTTGTTACTGGTAACTTACACAATCCATGAAAAAAAAAAAACAAGTCTCAGGAGAATTAGGTTGTGATTGAGAGGAGGAGAAAGTATAGCTGATTGTGGAATAGCACATTTAATAGAGCTTGTTGAGAAAATATTATTGAGGATCACTTTGGTGTGGGCCCTGGATAACTGAACAGAGAGAATCATTGGATTTGGAAACATTGCTTACCTCTCTCAAGAACTAGCACATTCTCTAGCTGATTGTTGTGATTTCTGTTTTCATTCCGAAATGGTCTTGCTTATCAGTAAGCATTTTTGTGGGCATTTTTGTTTTAAAAATTAAGCATCATAGATCAACTAGGGATTGGGTTCAAAATTTAGGAAAAGTACTGGAGACTTCAAACACACCATCATAAACATAAATATGCTATCTTGGTTTTTTTATTATACTTTAAGTTCTAGGGTACATGTGCACAACGTGCAGGTTTGTTACATATGTATACATGTGCCATGTTGGTGTGCTGCACCCATTAACTCATCATTTACATTAGGTATATCTCCTAATGCTATCCCTCCCCACTCCCCCAACCCCATGAAAGGCCCTGGTGTGTGATGTTCTCCACCCTGTGTCCAAGTGTTCTCATTGTTCAGTTCCCACCTGTGAGGGAGAACATGTGGTGTTTGGTTTACTGTCCTTGGGATAGTTTGCTCAGAATGATGGTTTCCAGCTTCATCCATGTCCCTACAAAGGACATGAACTCATCAGTTTTTATGGCTGCATAGTATTCCATGATGTATATGTGCCACATTTTCTTAATCCAGTCTATCATTGATGGACATTTGGGTTGGTTCCAGATCTTTGCTATTGTGAATAGTGCCACAATAAACATACATGTGCATGTATCTTTATAGTAGCATCATTTATAATCCTTTGGGTATATACCCAGTAATGGGATGGCTGGGTCAAATGGTATTTCTAGTTCTAGATCCTTGAGGAATCGCCACACTGTCTTCCACAATGGTTGAACTAGTTGACAGTCCCACCAACAGTGTAAAAGTGTTCCTATTTCTCCACATCCTCTCCAGCACCTCTTGTTTCCTGACTTTTTAATGATCGCCATTCTAACTGATGTGAGATGGTATCTTATTGTGGTTTTGATTTGCATTTCTCTGATGGCCAGTGATGATGAGCGTTTTTTCATGTGTCTGTTGGCTGCATAGTTGTCTTCTTTTAAGAAGTGTCTGTTCATATCCTTTGCCCACTTTTTGATGGGGTTGTTTGATTTTTTTCTTGTAAATTTGTTTGAGTTCATTGTAGATTCTGGATATTAGCCCTTTGTCAGATGGGTAGATTGTAAAAGTTTTCTCCCATTCTGTAGGTTACCTGTTCACTCTGATGGTAGTTTCTTTTGCTGTGCAGAAGCTCTTTAGTTTAATTACATCCCATTTGTCAATTTTGGCTTTTGTTGCCATTGCTTTTGGTGTTTTAGTCATGAAGTCCTTGCCCATGCCTATGTCCTGAATGGTATTGCCTAGGTTTCTTCTAGGGTTTTTATGGTTTTAGGTCTAACATTTAAGTCTTTAATCCATCTTGAATTAATTTTTGTATAAGGTGTAAGGAAGGAATCCAGTTTCAGCTTTCTCCATATGGCTAGCCAGTTTTCCCAGCACCATTTATTAAATAGGGAATCCTTTCCCCATTTCTTGTTTTTGTCAGGTTTGTCAAAGATCAGATGGTTGTAGATGTGTGGTATTATTTCTGAGGGCTCTGTTCTGTTCCATTGGTCTATATCTCTGTTTTGGTACCAGTACCGTGCTGTTTTGGTTGCCGTAGCCTTGTAGCATAGTTTGAAGTCAGATAGCGAGATACTTCTAGCTTTGTTCTTTTTGCTTAGGATTGTCTTGGCAATGTGGGCTCTTTTTTGGTTCCATATGAATTTTAAAGTAGTTTTTTCCAATTCTGTGAAGAAAGTCATTGGTAGCTTGATGGGGATGACATTGAATCTATAAATTACCTTGGGCAGTATGGTCATTTTCAGCTATCTTAGTTTTAGAGTGGTCCCTCTAGGTTCACACTGGAAAGATCATGTCAGTGTTTCAATTTCAACAGGATTTCAAGAAATTAAATGACTTCACGAAGGTTGTTTTCTGAGTTTTATAAAAAAATTATAATATACAGAAAAGCATATAAAATATTTTTAATTGGACTTTGGCAATAGCTAGTAAAAAATGTATTTATAGTATATTTGTCACATTTTGAAGAAATAAATACATAATCTGAATATTCTATAATCAGAAATAAATATTTTGGGGTATTTTAATACTAAGTTTCTCTTGAAACTATGTGGTTTTCTACTTTTGGCTTAATAGGATGCTTAATACATTGATCAACAAATTGAAAATTTGTATGCTCTTGTCAAGCCAGGTTTCAATTAGACAACTTCTCATCATTATGATGTGGTTCCACAATTACTAACCAACCCCACATTGGCTTCACCAAACTTATTTAGCACTAAATTCATACCCAGACCATAACAGATTCTTTAAATAGATAAACTTATTGAATGCTCACAAGAATGCCTTATTGTCTATTTTTTTCATTGATGAGGAAACCAGTGCTCAGAGAGTTAGAGAAGCTGTCCAAAGTCTCATAGAAATTATGTCATCAGAAGTAAGTCTGTCTAACTTCAGCAACTTTATTCTTTCTGCTGTGCTATTTACCACTTCATGAAGTATAGCTATTAATAGATCCCCTGAAATGTATAATGAGGACATCTTTCATTCTGTATAATCTATATATAGATAATAGTAAGTAGATAAATTATCTCTATCATTTATTGATTTATCTATAAAATCAGTTTTTCTAATGTTTAAACTCATAGTGCTTCTTTTAAAGCATCAGCAATTGAAACTACTCAAACTTACTAGTCAACAAAGTATGTAAGGATTATAGAATGGGGAAGAGTGATTCTGTCAAATGGTACACATACTTGTTTCACAGTAATGTCAACCTCAGCCATCATGAGCCAAATCAGTGGGGCATATATGAAAGAAATAAAAAGCACACTGTCTGGCCCTGTGATACAATGGGGTTTTACTTCTTTAGATACAGATTTTGCTTAATGTAGATTTTTTTCTGAAATTAAATGTTGAATGTACTCAATAATTGTGATTTCTTCCTATTCTCTAAGAATACCTTTACACCAAAACTTCTCAATATAACAATTGAAGAAAACTGGTTAGGTAACTTCATTCTCCCAAAGGAAGGAAAGGGCTGGGTTTGGACGCTAGCAACCTCTGTGTTATATCAATTCTACAAAAGTGATGATTGTATTTACTAAATGATCTAAAATAAACGATAAGACATCTTTACTAAAGAAAAGAGGAGTTTACAATATGAAATGTATCATTGTAACAAGTCAATATACTCCTTCCAAAATTTTGTGAAGTGATGACTGTCAAACAATAGGGCAATAGTTTGGAAACTTCATCTAGTTGCAGAATCCTTCTGCCTTTTTATTTCCAAAAACACTTTAAATAGATTCTCTAAATATAAAACAGACACAAATGAAGGCTCTGTGGTTGAAATCTGAAACATGAAACACCTCTATGGGATCTTAGACTAGTCTGAGATACCAATAGAAAACCTTGAAATAGAACATACGAATAATTTTTGAACAAATGTCAAATTAGTCTCCCTGGTAGCAATAAGATAACATTAAAAAAGCCAAACCATACACATACACAGAATTCCAAGGGTCAAGTTGGAAATAAAATTTATTGACAGTGGAATAACAAATATTTTAAATTACTAATTTATATTTTCCGATAGCAATTTAACACAATTTTAAAATATGTGCCTGGACAATAACTCAGTAGTTAATCTAGTTAGGCTGCCCTTAGCACTACACTTAAACCTGCCCATGACAATAGATAATACTTTTATATGTAAAGAGAATCTGTGCAATGCACTTGGTACTCAACCAACTGGAAAATGGCCTTGATTTAAAAACTTGAAAGCCAAATGTGTTCTCTATCAAAATTACAAACTACTGTTCTGATATATTATTGGATCATTTCACCAGCAGTGGGCCACAGATATGAGCTTTATTAAAAAAGGGTGGCATGTTTTAAATGTCCATTAATGTATGTTTAATTATAATAGAATGACTATAAAAGTCCATATGACATCTACATGATGATCAAAACAATTAATTATAATCAGCATTAACTCAGTGAATACAAAATGAATGAGAAAGGGATGTTCAAAAGAAAAAAATGAAATGTAGAGAGCTTAAGTATGAATAATTATACTGGATTTATTTTTATTAAAGAAATCAAGAAAAATATAATACTCAGATTTTATACTTATGTGATTTAATTAATAAGTATTTTTAAAATGTATATTTTTATCAGTTGCCAAAAATTCCAAACTCACTAAAGTACATGAAAATAGAATATACATTTTTTCACTCATTTATTAACGCAGCAAATATTTATTCAACACTTGTTAGAGAGGTACCTAATTTCATAATTATAATCAGTATAATATGAACAATTATAATAAGAGTAATGTACCCAAAGAAGAGAATACTCAGTTCTGTGGGGCAGGGAATGGATTGGGAACATACTGAGAAATGCAGAAATATAATTCAAAGAGACAAAATCCTTTAAGGGTATTCCGAAGAATTAGTGGTAGTAGTGATATAAAAAGGGCAAGATTACTTCAGGAAGGAAGAAAGCATGAGCAGTGGCATGGGGTTTGGAAGAGCAGTGTCTTCAGAAAACCACATTGTCCACTTGGATGAAGAGAAGTTTTAGGGGATACAGCGGGAGATGAAGTCAGTTGGAGGTAGAGAGCAGAGGCCGTTAAGACCTAGCTGAGTAATTCGGACTTCTGGACCCTGGGAAAGATTGAAGTATTCAAAGCAGGTGGTAATGCAGTCAGTTTTACATTTTAAAAAGACACTGTGTTTACAGATAGAGTGAATATTAGTAAACATTAGAAAGTATTAGTACATATCAGAAAGGATAGGGAGAAAACAGAAAGCTACATTACCCCAGAAGATGAGGTCCTCAGCTGAGACAGTGGCAGGGGAGCTCAAGAGAAGGGTGGAAACTCCAGAACAAACAGTGACTTGAGGTTGGGGCTGGGGAGATAAATAGAGGGAATAAATAGTAGGATGATCACCGTGTCTTACACTTGAGGACTTATTGGACTGTGGTATCTTTTACTAAAATGAAAAACAATACAAGGGAATAAAGGTCTGGGAGGAAATAATGAGTTCAGTTTTGGACATGATGAAATTGATGTGCCTCCAAGATATACATGAAAAGATTTCAGACGTCAGTTGCATATATAATTATAGAGCTCAGAAGAAAAATCCAAAATCAGAATTTTTGCATTAATTACAGTATGTTCATGCTCTGAAATGTTCAATCCCTACACATATATCTTCAATAGACTGTAGCATTTTCAGTGTGTAGAATATTGCCCCTATGTACAAAGTTGAAAAAAGCACCTGCAGTAAGTGTCGTAGGTACAGCAGAGAGCTACAAATGTGACAATTAAAAGTTTGAGATGATATACTAATGCTCATGGACATGGACAAATGATTTTTTTAAACATGGATCAGGGTAAACTAAAAATGGCTGAAAAAATATATGAATCCAAAGATCAGCCATTTACCCTCCCTACATTTATTCACATATCCATGCCTTTATTTTCATTGTTCAGGTACTATTTTATTTTAGATGCTGGGAAGTAGCAACAAACAAGACAGAAAACATCAAGGTATCACGGATTTTACAGTAGTCAAAACTCAGCATAAACACATACACAAATAAATATATCCTTATTTCAGATAGCAATATACATAACGAAGAAAAAGAAAGCAGAAAAGGAGACAGAATGTGAAGAGTATCTATTTTGGAAAAGGTAGTCAG
Organism: Homo sapiens; assembly: GCF_000001405.40. Taxonomy (NCBI): domain Eukaryota; kingdom Metazoa; phylum Chordata; class Mammalia; order Primates; family Hominidae; genus Homo; species Homo sapiens. The sequence goes on from NC_000007.14 coordinate 115,285,393, forward strand.
AGAATAATTCTTTTTTGAAGGGGAGAAAGGAAGGAGTCATGGAAAAATACGGGAGAAAAAGACTCAAGTCAGAAGGATCAGCAAGTTCATATTCTCTAAGGCAAGAATCCCTTCCCTTATTGAGGGAAATAAATGCAGCATAGGCTGGAGCAGAGTGAAGGAAGGGAAGATGGTGGGAGCTGCTGTTGAAGAATATGCCTGAGGTGAATATTACAGTGGTTTGGTGGCTGGAGAGAGCAGTGTGGGTTTTATTCCAGTCTAAGTCTAACCTGAATCCATTGGATGGCTGTGAGTAGAGAGTGAAAATATCTGGTTTCTATTTTATGAGAAATTAATTCAGGCTTCCATGCAGAACTGTGACTGTAATGGAGCAAGATTGGAAACAGGAAGAACAATGAGGAGGCTACAACTGTAGTCCAGGTGATAGATAGTCAAGGCTGGACCAGGATGGTAGTGGTGGAGCTGATGAGCAACAAACAGACTTGAGAAATATGTTGAGGGTAAAGCAATGAGACTTGATGATGGATTGGAAAGTTTCAGCCATAACAAGCTATTGGTCAAAATCACATCAGAGAAGGCCATGTGTCAAATAAAGTTTGTCTGTTAAACAATTGACAAAAAATATTTCTACTAGGCTATTTTTGATCTGAATACACCAACAAATTTTAATGAGCCAACACATTTAGAAAAGTTCTTGAATCTGAACACATCTTTATTGCAGCATTATTATTTCCTAGTGTATGTGTATGGTTGCTAAGTCATGAGTGGGATATATTTAGAAGAAGAACACAATTTTTTAAGGAACCCTGACAGAGGACACAAAAGACAAGACATAATGCTGATTTCTGTCTCTGTACCTTGACTTATTCTCATCATATTTCTGAATATGTGAAAAAGATACATGATAGTATCCACTAATGGCATTTGGTATGAAACTGTGATACCATATATAGACAGAAACCTAACAAATATTTTAGTCTGTAAAAAGCAATAGTTACTTGTCATGTAAAATACTATGCAACATGAAAAAGGATTTTCATACATCTACAAACAAGATTTTATTAGGCTTTTTCATTTCTAGAATGAAGAAATTTTTGATTCACTAAAAAGTTATATGTGTAAAACATACATTTGAAGGCCAGTGAGTTCCACTTGGTAGGTTAGATCACATGAACCTAAAGAAAAGAAGTTCTAAACTCATGAAAATTAGAGTTTACTCAGGAAATACCGGTAGCATCTTAATGAAAGTGCCACGCATGCCCCTTCTGAAATTTAACACATGCAAGGAACCTTCCCACGTCTGTGGCAAATGCAGACTTTGCTGCCTTAAGGGCTTGGCATTTTCAGATAAAAAAGAATCAATGTCATTATACAGTATCTCTCTAGAGCATCGTAATTATTCTGCATGCATACAATATTTATTTAAAACTTAAAATTAAACTTCAAGAGGTGGTCATTTGAAAGCCGGCAGTCAGTGAATGGATCCTGTATTCATGAAAAAGAGAATATTTCTTTTAAAAGTTGAGAAATAGATCAAAACGGTCTTTCCAGTAACTGACACTTTAGTCATATAGATGCTTTTTATGTGTCAGATTTATTAATAAAGAAGGTCCATGGGAATGAGAGGAGGAAATCTTGAGGATGTGAGTGTCAGTTTTTGATATGTCAGGTATAATTTTGTAGCTGTGATTTTTGGATTGCAGTACACACGCAGCATTGTACTGATGTTTGTGTACCTCTTTGTACTCATCATTTGTGATGACTGGAAAAGAAGATAAGGCGGAGATGTTTTGATACAGGATTGAAACTTGAAACTACAGTCCTTCAATTTGAACAGTATTCCTGTTTCATCTTTCTTTTCATGTTACCTTTTTAACTTTTGCCACTGATGTAAAAGGAAAAAAAAAAGAAAATTTGAAAAGATGCCAGGTGTTGGTTCTTATCTGGGTGAAGGATCACAGAAGTAGAGGATAAAATATAGTTTGTAGTTTGTCACAGCAGCAGACTTATGAAGATCAAACACTTGTCAACAACAACTGTTTGTCCTCCTATGGCTATCATAGAATTATTAAGATGGTGACATCTCTTCATAGTTGGTAGATTTTGCCAAGATTGTAGTATGTAATTTCCAATTAGTTTAACAGGGTGTGTTCTGCTGTGATGAATACAGTCTTCCTTAATTGCTTTTGGCTGCTTCCTGAAATAAAAGAGCATCACCGTGTTACAAATACATGGGTCGGTCACTGTGAAATTCAGAATGGTATGATCTCTTTTAAGTCATCAAAAATAACACAAAACAGGTATTTCCAAAAAAGGAGGTAAAGCAGTTTATTTTTACAATGTCTGAACCGAGAATGCAGCAAAACTGAAAAGTGAAAAAATTGTGCCAAACTTTTTTTCTCTTTTTTTGGTTACCATTTTACTGTGCCTGCCAAGTAAACACTTTGCCCTCCCCATATTGACTTGTATGAATAGACCAGCTGCTTGTGTGTTAAATTTTGCACTGTATCATGCAATTATTTGTGAAAATTCTCATGTTTAACCAAAGGATCAATAATGAGTGACTGATTTTCCACAAATTTACTAAATTTTCTTTTCTTTTTTAACTCCTGCAGATGTCAGTATAACCTGAATGTCTAACAGTCGTGGTCCATATTCAACTCAAATTATTTCTGTGAACCTTACCTTCATGAGGTCTCAGAGCCAATAGTGCCTTTCAGAGCTTGCAGTAACTAGAGCATTGTTGAATTTCTCATGACTCCTTCCAAGTTAGCCTCTTTTAGCAGTGGTTGCTCTCAGTAGCCATATGAAGTCCTAAAGAGCCAGAGGGACTGGAAAAAATTTAGAGTTACCATGTGGGCCAAAAAAAAAAGAGGGAACCAAAAACAAGGAAGAAAATTTGAATAACAAAGTCTTGGGTAGAGATGTGAGGCCATTAAAACATAAAGACATAAACTTTTAGGTGAAAAAGATACTTCTTTAATACTTGCAGATATTTTATGTGGCTTTAATTTTTAAGTGGGGTTTGTACTTCTATACATGCCAAACAAAACCACTCGAGAAAACCAACTTAAACGTGATAAAACTTTGTGCATACAGCTAATACAATTACATCATATTTATAAAGAGCACTTTATAAATTGTGACTTAATCTATGTACATATTGTAACTTCAGGTAAGTCTAAACGTGTCCAGAGGGTTCTAATTAATGGCCAGTTCCCAGAAATAAGAAAATACTGAGCAGTCAAAAGATAAAGGCCACAAAATAATCTAGCCAGTTAGATTGCCTGATTCAAAAGAACTCAGTGTAATCTTCTCCAGTGACTTCTTTCTATTAGCATTTATTTATTTTATTGTGTTAAACTTTTCAGAAAATAATACATGTATGTATTGCTAAAAGGCTTATGCCACAATACAGCTTGTCTTACCATAATCCCTAACTATTCTACTCAGCAAAGCCAAGTACTTTCAATGTTTCTAAGGTGTTTCCTCTGATATTAACATTTATTTATTTAGACAAATATATCTTTTTTCTTACATATAAAAATGTATTATATTAGTCTGTTCTTACATTGATATAAAGAAATACACTAGACTGGGTAATTTGTAAAGAAAAGGAATTTAATTGGCTCACAGTTCTGCAGGCTATATAGGAAGCATGATACTGGCATCTGCTCAGCTTCTGGGGAAACCTCAGAAAACTTACAATCATGGCAGAAGGTGAAGAGGGAGCAGGAACAAGAGAGTGAGTGAGGGAGGAGGTGCTACACACAATTTTAAACAATCAGATCTCCTGAGAATTCACTCACTATCATGAGAATAGTACCAAGAGGATGGTGCTAAACCAATCATGAGAAATCCATCCCCATGATCCAATCACCTCCCACAAGGCCTTACCTCCAACATTGGGGATTACAATTCAACCTGAGATTTGGCTGGGGACACAGATCCAAATCATATCAGATATGTGTATTTCTTTGATTTTTCTTGATTTCTTGATTTCTATTTCACCTTATATAAATAATATATTGACATTTTGTTTTTGAAGTATAGGTTTAACCTCTCTCTAATACTTCCCACCTTCATCCTCTCTCCCACTCTGTCATTATAATTAAATTATACATTTTTGGCTAAGGTAATAGTGAGTGTTTATATAAATACTATTACATAAACATTTTTCACTTTGGGGCCAAAGGATAAATTATAATTATAGTTCCTTTCCAATAATGCCTTTTTTTCTAGATTTAATGTTGCCTCAGTTGTTTGCTTGTTTTTCTAGAAGTATTTTTTATGTTTTCTATATTTTTCAAAATAAATTTATTAAAATAAATATTCCAAAAATATATCGTGTTGATCTGAATTTTTTTCTAAGTTTTGAAACATAATCCTAAGCAACTTCCACCTTCTCCCTCCACCAGCCCTTCATCTCTTCCTGTGATCTATGCTCTGTTTTGGTGGTGCACACTTGACTATACTGGTCCCTGCCTTTGTTGGCATCTTGTATTTGAACCCTTGATTCTTGAATCTGAGCCCTTGATTCTTGAATCTTCCTCCTTGCTTTTTTCTCAGGTATTCTCAAAGCATATCGTCTATTATCTTCCTAAGAAAGAGTGCACAGGAGACATACTGATCTATTTTAGACAATGAATATCCAGATATGTCTCTATGCTATCCTCATATATGATTGATAATTTGGAAGTCACTTTATAATAAAATTTCTAGACATTGAGTCATATTCTTCTGGAACTCACAGTTGTTTTTAATTATTCCAATACAATTCTTACTTCTAAGCATTTCTCCATGACTCACATCTACTTCTAAAAACATTCTTCGAATCTTATTTTAACCCCCCTATTCCTGAAAGTTCATGACAATCTGCCTTGGAGGGTCTTTCTTCATTGTGCTTAGCCCTCAGTGAACTCTTTCCATTTAGAGACATATGTCCTTCAGCTCTAGGAAATGTTCTTAAATTGATTTTTGATAATTTTGTCACATCTATTTTATTCTTTAGTTTTGGGTTTTGTATCTCTTTGGTTTATTCTCTATTTTTTTCTTCTCCTACTGTTTTTTATCATTTACTATTGTCTATTTTCTGGTACATTTCCTTGATACTATCATCCAAACCTTCTGATATTTTTTCTAGTAATTCTATGTTGAATTCTAATAAATCTTTCTTGTTTATTGATTATTTCTTCTTATAATACCCCATTCCTTATAGGTGCATATCTTCCCTCATCAATCAAGATGATAATAATAATAATGTTTATAATTTTAAAAATAGAGTTTTCTTTTGTGCCTTATACTGTCTTTTTTTCCCAGTTTATTCTCTATTTTGTGGGGCTCTGTATTTTATATTGGAGACTTTATTTAAATATTGGGGGTTCCTTAGCTGTTCATCATACTGACAGTAAGATGCAATTACAAATTTAAAAACACCATGCAAACAACTAGTTGAAATCTCTTGGTATTTGGAAAAGACTTTCAACATGACTACTTATGTGAGGATATCTCTGAATGTCAGAGCCCATGTATCTTTTTGTTGAACTTCTTTATTTTCTCCAGAGAAGAATTCTTGATATCTTTTGAGAGCAGGTGGGAGGGGTAGATGGGTGTGAGATTGGCTGCAGGCACTCTGGGAGGCTGGGGGAGAGAGCTGCAGTGGTTTACCATGCTTCACGTGAACTCTAAACCCTACCCACAATCATCTCTACTCTCCAGTATGCCTGGTATCCTGGACTTTGTAACACTTCTAGTGTTTTCTCCTCCAAAGAATAAAGCTCTGGTTTTTGAAGGGAAAGCACTGGGGGAGAAGTAGCCTGAAGGTGTGGGGCAGGTAGCCTGTTAACGGTAAAGGAAGCCCACTTTCATATTTCTTTGCTTGATATTAGGCTTCAGAAGCTTTGGTGGGCACTTTATTAGGTAAAAGTTTTCAGTTATACTTATTTTTCATAAGATAATTTGAATTTCATTTTGAGGTAAAACTTTATTGAAAGCTTTATAGCTGACTAAAAAGGTGCATTAAACTAAATACTTTTTCTTCGTCTACTAGTTTTGTAATTTTGTTAAAGAAAGGAAGGCTTTGGGTTTGAGTGACTTTGACCCCCTATAAAATCCCATGCTGCTTATTGCTCTTGTTTCTATTATCCAATATAAGCTGTAGGGTTTCTTTTCCCTCTCCAGGGGCCTCACAATAGACTTATCAAATTGTAATTATCACGGCAAATCATTTTGTTCTGACAAATAAAACCTACATGTTTTATTTCATTCCATTTTCTGGAGCTACTTAGTTTAGCCTAAGTTTTCAAAAGTAATCACTAGTCTTTTTGAATCTTGGGAGTATATTTCTTCAGACCCTATAATGCACATAGTGTAAAATCATTTAAAGTGATGTTAATTTTTTCTTAGAAATACTATTTCAAATAGTCATGCAGAGAAAAAAAGTGAAAATGACTATTTATATCAACTGAGGACCTCAATGAGAGCTGTTAAAGGGTTGAGAAATAGGGAAGTTTAAACAAAGAAACTTGGATTAGTTAGCCAAGAGAAAAGTTTAACTGTATCCACAGATCAAGAAAAATAATAATCTATTGTTCTGTATAGCTGTAGAAGACTGAAGAGGAATTCAGTATAAAGTGAACCATAGAAATTATGAAATGTTTAAGATGTCTCCACCTTGACTTTCACCAACACTTCAGGGAACTTTAAAAAAGGATCAACATACAGGTTAAGGCAAACTGAATAGGTAAAAAGATATGAATTATAACAGTTCCTACAAATCATCCTAAGAATCTCCCCTAAAGACTTAAAAATTTCACTCATTCAGAGATATCAAATTCAGAATAACTATATAAGAGATCAATTAAACCAATTGGTTTAGTGAAAGTCATAACATTCATCTCCATTTTTAATACAAACCCCCCTAGGAAAACAGCAAACAAAAACAAGGAGTGTGTGTGTGTGTTTGTGTGTGTGTGTGTGTGTGTCCACTGTGTGAGTCATCCGAATGGAGGCAGAAAATAGATTACGTAGGTTTGAGACCCCCATCACCACGTATCTATTTTCTTCCTGAGACTGCCTCTCTAACCTGGTAACTTCTGGGAGGTACAACATTGGGCATGCTGTTGCTCTAGTTTTCATCATGCTCTAGTCCTCCCATCATGCCAGAAGATGCCTCTTCCAAATACTCAAAGTTACTGGGCTTTGCCAGAATGACTGTATACCAGAGCAAAGGCTGACTTGGCTTTCTTAGTGTTCTTTACACATGTTTATCCACAAAATGTAGTTGTAAGGCTGGAAAGTTTTTCACTCAACTTGTCTTCCTTCAAGCTCTAATTTCCACTTTAATTCTGTTTTTTTTGTTGTTGTTGTTGTTGTTTGTTTGGATTTGGGGTACCTTGTAGAACTGAGGAGCAAATTGACATAAACTAGATTTTAAAATTAGTAAGGAAAATGTGTGTGTGTGTGTGTGTATATAAACACATATGTATATACATAGATACTGTGCATTCTGTCCACTTCGTATATTAGAAGCTGCCCCATGAAAATTTGCATATGTATCATCATACTTGGTAATCAGCACTAATCATTACTTAATCTGATAATAAGATGGGAATTTGCACCTGAAGGAGTCTTGTTGGGGATTGATTGAAGTCAAATAACTTGTTAATTATTAGTTATATTAATGCTGAAGGCTGCACATCACATGGAATTCTGGACTTCAGGATGGACATGGTTAATGGGTGTGACCTGGGAACTGTGTCCTGTGGGATAGAGTAAGTGCATTTCATTTAGAGTGAATTGAGGGGGAAGAGATAAGGATACACACACATACACATACACACATATATATACAACACACATATGTTAAAAAGTATTAAGTGAATTGAGGCAGAAGTGAGAAAGATACACATATAGATAGTTATACATACATATATAAATATAAACATATATATATATATACACACACATACAACACATATATATTAAATAGTTAAAAGGGTGGCTTACAGATTCTGAATTACAGAATCAAAAGCCATTAACAGTCATCTTCTCTGTTTTCTTCTAATAGAATACAGCCTGGAAAGCTTGAATTCTAGATTCCTCAGTCTGTTTCAGTTAGGAGAGACCACATGACAGAGCTCTGTATAAGGAGGGTAAGTGGAATCTCCTGCAAAATACTTATCTCTTCTTCATGCTTAGAGGGCAAAGTAGGGAAATAGGTACCTGGGTCACCAAACCAAATGACAAAATACTACATGCTGAGAACAGTGGAGTAGAAGATGGAAAGAGTCTCACTGATTGTCTTACTGAGCGGCTGTGCCAGCCCAGAACCTTCTACCATTGGCCTTTGTTGTGTGAAACATTTATACCCCTTTCTGTTTAAACCAGGATAGCAGGAATTCAGAGTATTCAATTATTTATAGCTAGGAATACAACTCTGCTGCAAAAGATTATGCAATAACATGATTCAAGGTTAAATAACTTTAAGACCTTGAATAGTCAATGCTATATAGTTACGTCATAGTCTGTTTTCTGTTGCTTTTAACAGAATACCTGCAACTAAGTAATTTATTTAAAAAAGGAACTTACTTCTTACAGTTATGGAGGTTGAGAAGTCCAAGGTCAAGGTGCTGAATCTAGTGAGAGCATTCTTGCTGGTGGAGACGCTCTGCAGAGTCCCAAGGTGATGCAGTGCCTCACATGACAAAGGGGCCAGGAATACTCACATGTCTCTTTCCCCTCTTAGAGTGCCACTTGCATGAGAACTCGTTAATCCATTAACTCACGGGGGCAGAGCCCTCATGACTCTATCACCTCTTAAATGCGCTTCCTTTCAATATTTCTACACTCGGGGTTAAATTTCATCATGCATTTTGGAAGGGACAAATATTCCAACTATAGCAAGTTACATAAATATTAAAAGTTATATTTTTAAGGCAGATATCTTATAGCCTTCAAAAATTTTCCAAGGGTGGATATAGTATTTAAGATAACTCAATGTATTTGACCATGCACCTCCCAATTTCCCCACGTTTTTCTTAGAAACCTTATTGAGATACAATGTACATTCTATATAATTCACCTATTTAAAGTGTACAGTTCAAGACACTTCTCAAAAGAAGACATATGGCCAACAAGCATATAAAAAATGCTCAGCATCACTAACCATTAGAGAAATGCAAATCAAAACTGCAATGAGATACCATCCCACACCATTCAGAATGGCTACTATTAAAAAGTTAAAAAATTACAGATGCTGGCTTGCAGAGAAAAGGGAACACTTAGACACTGCTGGTGGGAATGTAAATTAGTTCAGCCACTATGGAAAGCAGTTTGGAGATTTCTTAAAGAACTGAAAACAGAACTATTATTTGACCCAGAAATCCCATTACTGGGCATACAACCCCCAAAATATAAATCATTCTACTATAGAAACACACACATGTGTACATTCATTGCAGCACTATTCACAATAGCAAACACAGGGAGCCAATCTAAATGCCATCAGCGGTGGACTGGATAAAGAAAATGTGGCACACGTACCACAGAATACTATGCAGTCATTTAAAAAAAACAAAATTATGTCCTTTGCAGCAACATGGATGAAGCTGGAGGCCATTATACTAAGCTAAACTTTGATTATACATGGACACAAAGACAGAAACAATAGACACAGTGTCCCACTTGAGAGTGGAAGTTGGGAAGAGGGGGATGGTCAAAAAATACCTATCAGGTAGTATGCTTCCTACCTGGGTGATAAAAAAATCTGTACACCAAACCCCTGTGGTTCATAATTTACCCATGTAACAACCCATGTGTACCCCTGAACTTAGAATAAAAGTTGGAAAGAAAAAGAAGTATTCAGTTCATTGGTTTTTAATATGTTCTGAGTTTCCCAACCATTGCCATCATCTAATTTGAGACCATTTTATTACCCCAAAAAGGAACCCAGTACTTCCCTATTTGCTAAGTATTCTGAAGAAGTAAGTAACATGTAAGGCTTAAATTTTATGCATAAATTCTACTTTTATAAATATATATACTTTATAAAATGAGCATTGTCTTTCTAGTTGGCAACATGAATTTGGTAGAAATATGATTAAACCAATATCTGAATTTTTACCTTTGGTATCCTCACATCTATTACAAAGTATGACTGATATGGTTTGGCTGTGTGTCCCCACCCAAATCTCATCTTTAATTTTAATTTCCATGTGCTGGGGGAGTGGCCTGATTGAAGGTGATTGAGTCATGGGGGCAGACTTCCTCCTTGCTGTTATTCTGATAGAGTTCTCATGATATTTGGTTGTTTGATAAATGTGTGGTGCTTCCTACTTCTCCGTCTGTCTCTCCCATGCTATGTAATATGTGCCTGGCTTCCCCTTCACCTTCTGCCATGATTGTAGGTTTCCTGAGGCCTCCCTAACCATGCAGAACTGTGAGCCAATTAAACCTCTTTATAAATTACCCAGTCTCAGGTAGTTCTTTATATTGTAAAAATGGACTAATACAAAGACTAAAATTAATCTGGCTGCCACAGATTAGAGAGCTATTATGTGAAAGATGAGACTGTGATATTTAAGCATTTGCCTATTTGGATATAATTAGATTAGTATTAAGCATAAAGTGAAACCACATTCAAGAAGAAATTCAGATAAGAGGATGGATGGCCTGTTCAGTTTTTTGTTTTCTCTTAAAAAGTTGCCCCAAACAGAGTTGTGAAGCAAGAGAAAGTTTATTTTGGATTTCCTCTTTTAAGCTTTACTAGTTAGGATATGGCTACAGCAACAAATGCATCCAGAAATCCAGTGGCTGACACATACAGTCAAGAGAGGGGTAGGCAGTCCAAAGAGGTCACATGGCTCTACTTCAGAAAATCACCCAGGACAAATGTCTTCCATTACAGTGCTCTGCCACCACCTTAGGGGACATCCTTGAAGCTGGCAGTCACTGCGTCCCTTCCCCCATTCATATACTGAAGCCCTAACCCCAAATGGGAATGTATTTGGAGATAAGGCCTACAGGGAAGTCGCAAACTTTCAATGAGGTCATGAGGGTGAGGCCTTAATCCTATAGGAGTGGTGGCCTTATAAGAAGAGGAAGAGACACAGAGCTCTCTCTTCTCTGTATGTGTAGAGAAGAGGCCATGTGAAGAGAGCAAAACCAGCAAACCAGCAGGAGAGGCCACAGAAGAAAACAAAATGTGATGGCACCTTGATTTTGGATTTCTAGCCTCTAGAAATGTGAGAAAATAAATTCCTGTTGTTTTGTTGTTTAAGCCACCCAGTCTGTGGTATTTTGTTATGGCAGTCCTTGCAGACTAATACATCAGATTGCCAGCACTGTGCCCTTTTTCTTGCACACAAGAAGGAGAAAGACGTGCTGGAGGATAAGCAGCTTCCTTTAAGGGGATGATTTAGAATTTGCAAATATCATCTCTGCCTACCTCACCTTGGCCAGAATTTAGACATATGGTCACACTTAACAACAAAGAAAGAAAATATAAAGCTAGAAAATATCTAGCAAGTTGGATTGTTTTTGCTAAAACTGTGTGTGTGTGTGTGTGTGTGTGTGCGCGCGCGCGCACGCGAGTAATGAAAAGACTAAAGGGGGAAATGAATACTGGGGTCTTAGTACTCTCTGAAACAAGCTCTCTTCTCAGTTTTAGCATCTCCTTTCAAGTGCCTTTTGTTTACTCAATAGTTTCCCAATAAAGGACTGTAGATTTGGCCTGTTGGCAGTACCCTATTCCCTATATTTTGATACTTGATTCAAATCTTTAAAGGTTTTTGCAATCCTGTTTTTTCTCTATGTTCTTAGTGAATGCTGATCTTACTAATTTATACTGGAATAATAATGGACGATAAGCTAGTGGCCAGTGAGTAACATTACCTTGGATTCTTATTATTTTTTTACCCAACTGTCCCTTTCCCCCTCCCATTTACTTTTTGAAGGAGTTTTTTCCCACACATTTATATCTATCTCTGCATTAAAAAAGACTCCATAATATCAAAATATTGTCTAGAGATAGCAAAGAATTGCATGATGCAAAGAGTTATAAGGAAACCCAGCTATACTAATGCCTGTGTGGGATATCTCTTTAGTCAAGAAAGATATATTGGCTTAGCACTACACTATGCTATATCCCCCTATGATGGGGATACAAAGAGCCATGAAAAAGATGGAATTGGCCCCTATCCTCATGGTGCCTAGAGATTAGTGAGTTAATAATAATGGAATAGTTTGTGCCTCCATTTGCAAGCAGAAAAATTAACTCCTGTTTCTAGCAGATTCTGCTGATGAGAAGGCAGGAAGATAACTCAGAACCTTAGAATAAATGCATAGGCTTTCTCTATCAGTGCCTACATTCCTCCCCATTGAAGGCTGCATTTTACATACTGTCAGTGACTGTACCAGGATCCAGTGGAACTATGTGTGAACTGCTGATTCATTGGCAACATAGCTGTGATCTCAGACACCCTCAGACTGTGCTGGCTCCCTGCCCATCTGCCAATACTTTGTGATTCTTTTGTAGTCACTCAACTCCTAGTGGACAAGTGAAATCAACTAGCACAGAGCAGATGGGAAAGAGAAGGGGATTTTTCAAACTGATAATCTTTAATTAAAAGCATAACACTCTCTGGGTTCATGTCTCAGGAACACATAACATATAAAGTATTTTTATAATGAAATTCAGCTGGTACTTTCTTTCTCTAATGGGTCTTCTTGGATAGAAGCCAAATGGATTAAAGTTGTACCAAATTTGATCATTACCAGGAGGTATTATCATTAAGCTTTAATATATACAATTCAGCTTATGCATTTCTACCAAGAGAGCCAAAATTAATTTAATTTTATGAGGGTCAAGGGACAATTTTAAGGGGTTTTGGGGGGGCCTAGGATTGGGTTTTCTTCTGTATCATCATGTATGTTATCAGTGATGGTATAGAAGTTTCTGGGTCCAGTGGGATGAGGAGCAGTAGGGGATTCCATGGTGACGGAATTGGTGAGGGCAGAGAACAACTGAATTGAACATAATCTCATGATAGCCACTCTGACAACAGCATAGTCCAGTGATCAGCAAACTTTCTGTAAATGGCCAGCCATTACTATCTGGCTATTTTCGGATTTGTGGGCCACGAGGTTCCTTTTACAACTACTCAACCCTGATGTTGTAACAAGAAAATAGCCGCAGGCAAAATGCAAATGAAAAGATGTGGATGTGTGCCAATAAAATTTATAGATAAGGGAATTTGAATTTTATGTAATTTTACTATGTCATGAAATATTATTCCTCCCTTGATTTTTTCCCCAACCATTTAGAAATGTAAAAACTATCTTTGCTTACAGGGTATAAGTAAACAGATGGGCAGGCTAGATTGCTGACTCCTGGACGGGCGGCTTCTTTCATTCGACAGGGAGTTACTGAGTGACTTCTATGTGCCAAGCATGGTTCTCAGTGTTGAGAGCTCAGCAGTGAACAAATAGTTAAAAAGTTCCTGCCCACATAGAGCTTCCATTCTAGAATTGTCTGCTGTCATTGCTTATCACTCAAAAGTCACTATCATGATGACTCTTTATAAATGGACAGACCTGTTACAAAATCTCATGTGCACATACCTGTTGAGCCCCAAGTAAATGAAGTTTCTGCAGTTTCAGTTGCAAGCATTCTGTTTGTACATACCTTTATTATAACCTTTCTCACATCATATTATATCTTCTCATTTATTCCTCATCCCTAGCACGCTAGTTGGCACAGAAAAGGCATTTATGATAACTGAGTAATATCTAATAATATGTAATATTATTTAACTTAATATTTAAGAATTATATATTTAATAATAATGGACTAATAATTGGATCTAAGATGCTGTTATCATTATTTATGTACTAAAGAAAAAATATTGCCAATTAACTCTGAGATGGTTATCACTGCATCTTACATTTCAGAGATGCTAAAGTATGAAAAAATAAATGTGAGACTTAGACTCTATGAAATGTGGTAAATGTTTCCCGAATAAATGGCATCTCTATTCCCATCGATTCTGAAAATGTATAATGCTAATTTATAATGAGGCACAGGAAAAGTCAAAAACACAAATAAGGGCTGCGTGAGTAATGTCACAGGAGAATGTGCCTGACTGCCTCCCCGTGATTCTGCTGCAGTTGTGTACTGGAGATATTTGCTAAAAGGCCTTGCTTGCTTTCTGAAAGGCACCAGGGCTGCCTCTCTCACAGCCTTACCTCCTTCTTGCCAGTCTGGTGGTGAGTGATGCAGAAACATTTTAATTAATGGTGAACTTCTCAAAGTTGAAGTGCAAACAATTACAGCTCAATTTTACTTTTGGCCTCATTTTCATCATTTCCATTCTCTCCTCCCTCCCCATTAGATGACTCTGTTTCACAGTCTGTAAGCTGGCTAATGGCTCTGCTTGTGAAGGAGAGGACGTTGTTTCTCCCACAATTAAAAGCAGCAAAGAGACAAAGACAGAATTCTCATGCTAAACGCCTCTAGATGAGTCCTTCTGAAAGGCAGATAGTCACCCTTCCCTAGCTAGAAAATAGAATTTTTTTTTTCTAGAAAGGATCATGTCTGCTCCATAACAACTGTTTGCACATGAGATTCAAAGAAAGTTCATAGTACATATCACAAGTACATCTGATATGTAAGTGAAGTGATCTGTAGCACTGTTAATTAGACCTAAATTCTTGGTTTACTATTTATAAAACAAAATTGATTATTACTTCATCAACAACATTTAAAGCATCATTAAGAGAGGTCTGATCCAGCAGCCTCAGGTTAAATTTTTTAACAAGCACTTTAGTTGCTAATCTGTGTTATTGCCAACATATGTAAACTTCCTAATGCTAATTGCATTCAGCTGTGAATCAAACAATGTCTAATTCTCTTCAGGATTAATTATGCACATGTGCTGCCTGCATTCCTAAACATGGTTCTCATAAATAATAAGAGATATATCTAAGCAGATGGGATTTTCCATCTAAATGATCTGTTTATCATGAATAAAACAAACGACACATACTAGACTTCAAGTGCACAGTCACTGCAACTTCACATATTTTTAGCATTAATAATTACCCCAACAATTGTTTGTGTGGATACATTTTTGAACAATTGAGCAGCAAGCCATGTTTGCTCACATGCTATATTTATCTCTCACAACATGTTTTTTAAAATTTGAACTGAGAATCAGGAACAGTGTAGTTTATTTCATGCACTTACTGGGTAAAGATAATTGTACACCATAAAGATTAAAACCCTACAGTTCCCAGGGAGTTCTGTTTAAATGGACTTTGTAATTAAGCTGATAAAAGGTTATATAGTCTTCCCACTCCCATAGAACAGAATATGTTGGGGGACATCTTTTCTAGCATTGCAGGATGAGAGTTTTAGAATCATTTCAATAGTTGAATTCAACAATCATTTAATTCAATTATTCATTCCTGCAACAAAGATAATTTTGAAAGAAAATGGACATGTAAGGCAACAACAAAAACACCAAAAATCAAAAACCTTAGAAAATGTATAGAATTAAGTTAACAATGTATTTTATTTTATGGGATTATAGAGTTTTGTTCATTTGTATAGTATGTATGAATCAAAATTGAATTGAGATGCCTTGGCATTCCAGATAAAATTAGAATAACATTTTTTAAAGAAAGAGATTCATAACAGCTTCTTTAGAAAGGTTGAAAGGACAGAGATTTGGAATAGCATATGTCTCTCCAACTGTACTAGGCTCAGAACAGTAGTCACTTCCCCAAAATAATGCCAGAACAAGACAGAGATCTAGGATTGCACTGTCCAATATGGGCACCACTGGCCATTTTCGACTATTGAGTACTTGAGATGTGGCTAGCCTGAACTGAGATGGTTTTAAAAGACTGAGAACAAAAAGAATATAAAATATTATTTGTAATAACTTTTGTATATTGAAAGATACTGTTTTTAATGTATTGGGTTAAATAAAATAAATCATTGAAATAAATTTAACCTATTTATTTTCACTTTAGCAATGTCGGGGGGTCTAGCAAATTTAAAATTACATATGTAGCTGGCCTCATATTTGTATTAGACAATGCTGGTCTAGAGTGGGGCACAGACATATGTATTTTTAAAGTTCTGTACGTGAATCTGATGCATGTCAGATTGGATACCACTGCCCTAGAACTTAAGGAAGAGAGTAAACAGACGATTCATCACTTTATAATTGGAGACTTGGGCTATGTAGATCAAATCAGAAAACATGTCTGAGACTCAGAGCAGTCACATAACTTGTCCAAAGCCACATAGCCACAGTAAGTACCACACAGTAAGTCACAGCATCACAGTTGGTTTTCTGTGATTCCATAGCTCATGGTTTTCCTCTGCATAATACTGCCTTCTGGAAATACAAATGGAAAAAGAATGAGCAATATAGGTGCAGGATCAGAGGCACAAAATGACAGTAGAGTCAGATGAAAACAGTTTCTCAGAGGAGAAAAGTATTATTTAAGTACCATCTATTTGACAGTCTTGATGCTAGATGCTTTCATATATGTTATTTTATTCCAGTTTCACTTAGCTCACGGCAAACATTTTCTTATGACAACCCATAGACAAAGTTGTTGAGACAACATTTATCTCTCACATTTTTTGCTCCTTTGACTATTTCTTTTTCCTTCCAATACTCAATAGTAACCCTACTGCTTTCTCACCTCCTCTCTCTTTGTATTTTTAAAATACTGTAGTGACCAAAATGTATCAGTTTTGTCCATTACCCTTTTTTGCTGGGTTTTGCTAGGTAGCTAATTCCAGTAATTCCATATATTTGCTAATTTAGCAAATAATTGATAAATTATTTAATCTACAGCACTAAAGATAATATCTATATATAAACTTAGAATGCAAAAAGACCCGAGTTTGAATCCTGTATCTACTACCTAACAGTAGTGTAAACTTACAATTCATAGTAACTTACAAGTTATTTTACTTCATGATGTTTATTTTCGTTTCCTCTATCATAGAGATAACACCATCTCCCTTACAGGTTATTGTGAGGTCTGCTACAGATCTTCACAGTTCCTTGGTGTGACCTGTACCAGGTGCTCAGCCAATGTTAGTTCTTTCCATTTTTCTTTTTTCTTCCCTAACATATTATTCACCTTTTAGCATTCGCATGCAGAGCATTAACAAAAAGGGGATATATGGGTCTTTCAGTGGGAGGTAGGATGAGCTAAAGGAGACTTTTCTGTTACCTCACTATCTCACTAAACTCCATAGTTTCCTTTGGTCTGTACAAAACTGATATGGTTTGGCTGTGTCCCCACCCAAATCTCATCTTGAATTTCAGTGTATTAGGGGAGGGACGCAGTGGAAGGTATTGAATTATGAAAGCAGGTCTTTCCTGTGCTGTTCTTGTGATAGCGAATAAGTCTCATGAGATCTGACAGTATTATAAGGGGGAGTTTCCCTGCCCAATCTCTCTCTTTACCTGCCGCCATCCATGCAAGATGTAACTTGCTCCTCCCTGCCTTCTGCCATGATTGTGAGGCCTCCTCAGCCATGTGGAAGTGTAAGTCATTAAACCTCTTTCTTTTGTAAATTGCCCAGTCTTTGGTATGTCTTCATCAGCAATGTGAAAACAGACTAATATAGTAAATTGGTACCCGTAGAGTGGGGCATTGCTGAAAAGTTACCTGAAAATGTAGAATTGACTTTGGAACTGGGTAAGAGGTAGGAGCAGCTTGGAAGGCGCAGAAGACAGGACAATGTGGGAAAGTTTGGAACTTCCCAGAGACTTGTTGAATGGCTTTGACCAAAAGCCTGGTAGTGATATGGACAGTAAAGTCCAGGCTGACATGGTCTCAAATGGAGATGAGGAACTACTTGGAAACCAGACAAAAGGTGACACTTGTTATGTTTTAGCAAAGAGAGCATTTTGCCCCTGCCATAGAGATTTGTGGAACTGAACTTCAGAGAGATGATTTAGGGTATCTAGTGGAAGAAATATATATGCAGCAAAGTGACTTGGGTGCTGTTAATGACATTCAGTTTTATAAAGGAAGCCAAGTTTAAAAGTTCAGAAAATTTGCAGCCTGACAATGTGATAGAAAAGAAAAACCCGTTTTCTGAAGAGAATTTCAAGCCGGCTGCAGAAATTTACATAAGTAATGAGGAGCCAAATGTTAATCACCAAGACAATGGAGAAAGTATCTCCAGGGCATGTCAGAAGTCTTCAAGGCAGCTTCTCCCATCATAGGAGCTGAGCTCTAGGAGAAAAAGTGGTTTCGTGGGCCAGGTCCAGGGTCCCCACGCTGTGTGCAGCCTAGGGACTTGGTGCCCTGCATCTCAGCAGCTCCAGTCGTGGCTGAAAGGGGCCAATGTAGACCTTGGGTCATGGCTTCAGAGGATGCAAGCCCCAAGTCTTGGCAACTTCCACGTGGTGTTGAGCCTGCAAGTACACAGAAGTAAAGAACTGGGGTTTAGAAACCTCTGCCTAGATTTCAGAGGATGTATGGAAATGCCTGGATGTCCAGGCAGTAATTTGCTGCAGGGGCAGGGCTCTCATGAGAAACCTGTACTAGGGCAGTACAGAAGGGAAATGTGGGGTCAGAGCCCCACACAGAGTCTCTACTGGGACACCACCCAGTGGAGCTGTGAGAAGTGGGCCTCTATTCTCCAGACCCCAGAACAGTAGATCCACTGACAGCTTGCACTGTGCACCTGGAAAAGCTACAGACACTCAATGCCAGCCTGTTAAAGCAGCGGGGAGGGAGGCTGTACCCTGCAAAGCCACAGGGGTGCAGCTGCCAAAGACCATGGGGTCCCACCTCTTGCTTCAATGTGACCTGGATGTGAGATAGGGGAGTCAAAGGAGATCATTTTGGAGCTTTAAGATTTGACTGCCCCGCTGGATTTTGGACTTGCATGGATGGCCTGTAGCCCTTTTGTTTTGGCCAATTTCTCCCATCTAGAATGGATGCATTTATCAAATGCCTGTACCCTCATTGTGTCTAGGAAATATCTAGCTTGCTTTTGGTTTTACAGGCTCATAGGCAGAAGGAACTTGCCTTGTCTCAAAATGAGATGTTGGACTATGGACTTTTGAATTAATGCTGAAATGGTTTAAGATTTTGGGGGGACTGTTGGGAAGGCATGATTGGTTTTGAAATCTAAGGACATAAGATTTGGGAGGGGCCAGGGCAGAATAATATGGTTTGGCTGTGTCCCCTCCCAAATCTCATCTTGAATTCCCATGTGTTGTGGGAGTTACCCAGTGGGAGGTAATTGAATCATGGGTGCAGGTGTTTCCCATGCTCTTGTGAATAAACAAAATCTGACAATATTATAAAGAGCAGTTTCCCTGCCCAATATTTTTCTTTGCCTGCCACTATCCATTTAAGATGTGACTTGCTCCTCCTTGCCTTCCACCATGATTGTGAGGCCTCCCCAGCCATGTGGAACTGTACATTATTAAACTTCTTTTTTTTGTAAATAACACAGTCTCGCGTAGGTCTTTATCAGCAGTGTGAAAATGGACTAATACAAAAACCTTCCTTGTTTTAAACTATATATTTCTTACTTAGCTTAATTACAGTAAATGCAGTGCTAAAAAGCCCAAACTTTGTGATTCTACCAGTGAAATAATATAACCCTGCTATGGCTTTCACAGAAACACTTTACAATATCACCTATGTCATGTGGTAATAATGTAAAACATTGGATCAAATATTAAGGTCAGCTGCAAAACCCACATACTTAGGCTATTTAACTTTGTGTTAATGACTGTTTCAAACTCTTACAATCATACACTTTTGGTTAAACAATCAGCCATGGCCCTTCCTTATGGTTTTATGAAGACATCCGAGACTTCTGGAAGAAAAGCATCTCATATTGCTTGTTAGGATGAGATGGTATGAGGAGGAGATGGTGTGAATGTGATTAATGGTAGAAATAGAATATAGGAGAAAGTATTTTTTGGCACAATCCCTGTGTTTCAGGTTGTTACTGGGAAACATTCTTACCCCTTCCATTTACATCCTTCACAGTGCACCAGGACTCCAGCTCGTCACTCCATCCTCTACACTATGTGCAGTCTTCTAGTCCTTATTCAAAAAAAGTTGCCTCACCTATTAGATAGGTGCAAACATAATTGCTGTTTTTGCTATTAATTTTTTTTTTTTTTTTTGAGATGGAGTTTTGCTTTTGTTGCCCAGGCTGGAGTGCAATGGCACAAACTCGGCTCACCACAACCTCCGCCTCCTGGGTTCAAGCGATTCTCTTTCCTCAGCCTCCCGAGTAGCTGGGATTACAGGTGCCTGCCACCATGCGTCGCTAATTTTTTGTATTTTTAGGAGAGATGGGGTTTCACCATGTTGGCCAGGCTGGTTTTGAACTTCTGACCTCAGGTGATCCACCTGCCTCTGTCTCCCAAAGTGCTGGGATTACAGGTGTGTACTGCACCTGGCCTGCCATTACTTTTAATGGCAAAACCCACAATTATGTTTGCGTCAACCTAATAGATTTACTGGAAACTGATTATGCAGATTCATCAAGTATCTAAATAGCTTTTTCTCTTTCAATCAGATTTTTAGACCGAGAGTTCAACCAGATATTCACTCAAACTTCAAAACTAAAAACAAAACAAAGATAAAACAAACAAAACTCCAAATTTAATTATTTGCCTGCTGATACCTATAATAGTATGAGTATCATTTATGTTAAAAACAGAGGTATTTATGATCTTGAGACTTAAAAAATTACAATTATATTTAATAACTACATTTCCCAAGTCAGAGAAGTACGTATTTCAGTTTTCCATGAAGTTTTAAAAATAAAATGGTTATTGAACTTCATCTTTGCTCAGTCTCCTCATCTGTAAAATAGAGACAAAACTAAGTAAATACCTCATATGATAGCTTGGAGAAATAAAATAATAATTGTAAAATGCTTAGAACAGTGCCTGGCAATAATAGTGCTTAATAACTCTTATGTTATTATCATTAATAACTTATAAATTTAACCAACCTGAATCTTTTCACACACTTTTAACTATATTAAGTTCTTAATAGGACATTCTTATTAATCATGGATATGAACTAATCATCTCAGCAGTAAAGAATGCATATAGATGTAAAAAAGAATTCTAGCTATCTTAAAAATTGAAAAGCATCCAAAAATTAAAAAAAAGAAGAGGAATAAAACACCAGATTAATGAAGGAAATGGTGCTGTTGGAAACTCTGGTGGCTGTGCAATATATCTGTCCTGGGCATTGAGCCTGAGGGCATTTTTATGGTGTTTTTTTCCTTCACTTTTCTCTGAGCTCATGCCCACATGTAAATGCAAGCGACAGTCCATTCTCCTCCCCATTAGTGTCTTTCCAGACTTGATAAGGATATTCATGCTGTTCCCTAGGGTTTAATAATTGCCAAAAGATGCATTAAATGATAACATTGATTGTGAAGTACTTTAAGTCGATAAATTCTCTTGTTTAACAATTAATTTCATGTGCTTCCAAAAACTACTTGGCAAAGAACATATGGTACTTAATATTTTACTGACATTTAAACAAGTCTAAATTTGCTAGTTTCATTAAACAGCTTTATAATAAAATTTGTTTAATTTATAAAACGTATGTTTGGCAATGAATGTGCCATCTTATGTAATATAAGGGGTACATGGTTAGTAGGCTGCAGTCCAAATGTATTAGATATCTTTTTAATTGATGTTGGAGATATTTCTCCTCTTAAAGATCAAAATTTTAAGTGAGGGGATTTGGAGGTAAAAATAAATTGACAAATAAGCTAATTTCTATATGGTCTATTTAAAATGTAAATAATAAAATTGTCTCTTTCCCTTTATTAAAAAATATTCTCCAGATGGTTATATATATTACTACAGTTTTAAGTGTGAGGCCCCAGCTTAACAGACCCAGAACAAAACAACAAAATACAATTTTTAATCCCTTTTTAAAAAGGAAAATTATTTTCTGTTTTGAATCATCAAACACATGTTTTCCTTTATCTTCATTAATAAATTATATCCTATGATTTCTTCTGGTGTAAAGTTCTGTTATTCCTGTTTCTTCTAAAATATTGAATTTGGATGCAAATTTATTTTGTTCAGTGTTTAGTATGATTAATATAATTTAAAGTTGACATTCCAAATCAGTGGCAATAATTAATTACATTTTTTGAAAATGTAAGTTAGGTACAAAAATATACTTTATAATGCTCAAAAGTAAATGTAAAACAGGTAATAAAATAATTAGTTGAAAATTTAGAAGGATATTGATATAATGAGTAGGAAAGGTTTTGTCAAGCCCAATTCCAAAGGCAAAAGCATCAGTAAGAAATACTGATTATATAACACTACATACAAATGAAAAGCTTCTCTTTATCATGCACCATGAATGACCCCGGGAAAAATATTTGTCGGCAAAAGGGTAGCATCTTTATTATATAAAGAATGAAACATATCTATAAATCAATTAAAAAGACAAAATCTCAAATAGAAGAATACACAAAAGACATGAAAGAATAATGTGAAAAGAAAAAATATTCAGCTTCACTAGTAATCTAGGAAATGAATATTTAAAGAAAAACAAAATGTATATTGTGGTTATCAGATGAGAAAGCTGAAAAAGAATATTAATGTTTTAAAAATATGAAGAAATGGACATGCTTATATGCTTCCTCTCATAAGAAGCAATATTATTTAAAGAGTTATTTTGTAATAAATATCAATACCATAAAATGTCCATTCCCCATGATGTGCTTATTTCACATTGCATGTCTGTATCAAAACATCTCATGTACCCCATAAATATATACACCTACTATGTGCCCACAAAAATTTGAAACAAAAACTAACCCAAAATTGTCCAGAACAAGAATAACAATGTGGAGCTGTTCCAGACTAAAGGTGACTGAATAACAACAAATGTGATGTGAATCCTGAAATGGATTCTGGGGTGAGGAGGTGGGAGATGGCAGTGGGGACGTCTAAAGAACATTGACAGCACAGTTGGCTACACTGAAGTATGGAGTGTGCAACAGATAATAGCAGTATGCCCATGTTAATTCCCTGATTTTCATAATTGTGTTCACGTGGTCGTATAACACAGCATCTTTGCTTTGGGGAAAAACACACCAAATATTTATTCAGTGGCTAAGGGACAGATTTGTATCAACTTGCTCTCAAATGGTCGTGGGAAAGAGGGAGATGAAGAGAGAGATACAGATAGAGATAGACAGATGGAGAAAGAGAGAGAGAGAAAGAAAGAGAGCAAGACAGAGAATTCAGAACACAAAGCAAATGGGGCACGGGGCAAAACTGACGTATCTAGGGAAAGGGAATGGAGGAGCTCCTTGCATGGTTCCTGCAACTTTTCTATAAGTTTGAAACTATCAAAATTGAAAGTTAGCCAAAGCTATACATGTTTAAAAAGTATATATAGTAATTTCACTTTAGGAATTTCGCTGAAGAAAATAATCATGGATTTGCGACAAGGATATTTATTTATCATAGTGTTACTCATAGTAGCAACAAGTGGAAACTAATTCACTAGAAGTTTATATTTTATACCATGAAATTTAATGTGGTCATTAAAACCCAGCTAGAGAAATGTTTATTGGCATTTGAAAATACCTGTGAAATCATGCAAATTTAAAAACAGAAGACATTTTAAAAGTAAGTACAATAGGTTTTCTTTTAAAATGAACATTTATGGACATTAGTAGGCATATAAATTGCATACAAATGATTGATTTATAGTAAGGTCTTTTTTGGGGGGGATCTGTAATTCTTTCTGAAAAGTAGATCTAACAGTTAATGACAGAGATAAAAAAGGAGATGTCACTGAGACAGCTGCCCAGGATTTCCTTCATTTTGGGGGGTGTTTTGTTATTTGTCACTTTATGTGGGCGCTAGGAATTTTTGCTTTCCTGGGCCCCTTCCTCCACAAAGAAACATATTAAAATTGTATTTTAGAGTTGCACTGAAATAAAGATGAAATATACTAAGATTACATATTAAAATACTTTCTTCCATATAAAAGTTTATTTTTAAATTTTGATTTTAAAAGAAATTAAAACTATTTCATGAGTCCCTTAAGGTACTGTGGGCTCATAAACACTTGTGCCTATTGTGCCTAACCAAAAGTTTGATGTTAATACACCACCTCTACTTGCTATATATGGCTCACAAAGCATCTAGGGTGGTGCTTCTCAAATTTTTTTTTTTTTTTTTTGAGATGGAGTCTCACTCTGTCATCCAGGCTGGAGTTCAATGGTGTGACCTTGGCTTACTGCAACCTCCCAAGTAGCTGGGATTACAGGTGTGCGCCACTACACCCAGCTAATTTTTGTATTTTTAGTAGAGACAGGGTTTCACCATGTTGGTCAGGCTAGTCTCGAACTCCTGACCTCGTGATCTGCCTGCCTCAGCCTCCCAAAGTGTTGGGATTACAGGTGTGAGCCACTGCGCCCAGCCAGTGCTTCTCAAATTTTAATGTGAGAATCAAATTTTAATTTTAATATGAAAATCAGTAGAATATTGTTAAAATGCAGATTCTGATTCATATGCAAGAAATGAGACATTCTGCATCTCTGACAAGCTCCTAGGTAATGCTGATGACACCTGCCTGTGGACCACACTTGGAGTAGAAGGTGCTGGGAAATAATTATAATCACCATGATTCATATACCCTACATATACTCACATATTACTTTTCAGCATCTAAGCATTTTTCTAAATGCTTCTTTGTAGCCATTGGTTATAGTTTCTCAGGCATGCAAGAGTATCCTTACTGCCTGCTTCAGACATATCTATTTACCTATTAACCCATATTCATACCTGGACCCATGCTTATATCTAAATCTGTGTCTCAAAGAAGGTGTATTAGTTCATTTTCATGCTGCTGATAAAGACATACCTGAGACTGGGCAATTTACAAAAGAAAGAGGTTTAGTGGACTTACAGTTCCATGTGGCTGGAGAGGCCTCACAATCGTGGTGGAAGGCAAGGAGGAGCAAGTCACATCTTACATGGATGGCATCCGGCAATGAGAGAGTTTGTTCAGGGAAACTCCCTCTTACAAAACCATCATATCTTGTGAGACTTATTCACTATCACAAGAACAGCATGGGAAAGACCCATCCCAATGATTCAATCATCTCCTACCAGGTCCCTCCCACAACATGTGGGAATTCAAGATGAGATTTGGGTGTGGATGCAGCCAAACCAGATTAGAAGTCATGCCAAAATATTAACAGAGATCATTTATTTGTAGTGGAAATATGAATATCTAATGCTTATTTATACTTCACTGTTTACTAATTTCTCTACACTGAGCATGCATCAATTTTCTAAACAAAATATTGCATATTATAAATACTTAGAAATATTTACTACAAATATGTCCATGAAAATAAACAAAATAAGATGGTTAAGGTATGACGAAAAGGTGCTATTTTGATGATCTAGGTTGGAAAATGTTGAGAAAATAAACCTGGCTATTACAAAAGTGAAACAATATTTTAATTTAAAAGTATTTATAGTACAACTAACAGTATTTTGCTTATTACTGCAATGAAAGCAAATTAGGTTTTAAGAGCATATTATTTCAGCAGACAATGTGATTCTGAAGATTATATGGTTTAAGCCTTCTGTGGTGGTGCACGCCTGTGATCCACCTACTTCAGAGGCTGAGGTGGGAGAATGACTTGAGCTCAGGACTTTTGAGGCTGCAGTGAGCTACGCTTGGCTACTGCACTCCAGCCTGGGTGACCGAGGGAGACTCTGTCTAAAAAAAAGAAAAAAAAAAAGAAAAATAGAAAAAGATTCTATTAACTTTTCACTTATTTTGACCAATATTTAGTATGTAATTGCTACATCTTGTTTTCTAGTGAATGAATGAATAAGTACATTTAAAAAGCTTATTTGCTTTAGTATCCTTGGCAATGGTCAACATAATAAATAAGCAGATTCATTAAAATGGTTGAAAATTCAGGGTTTATTACATAGGTTTTTATTGTGACTTGAAAGACAGTAACAGTGCTATTCATTCCAACTTAAATATCGTTGGTGCTTAGACTTCTAAAAATTTGTCTTTGGGGATCTATGACATTGGCCAAAAGTTTATTTTTACATTTTTTAAAAGTTAAAACATTGCTTGTGAACTATTTTTAGTTTATCTGAGTAACATAAAGTAGTATTACTTCACTTTTTCCATGAAATCTTAGTGAACATTTTTATCACCTCAACTTATTACGGAGTGGTGTTTTTTCCTCCATCAATTCATATCTTAACTTATAGCATGTGAATTTTTTCTTAGTCTTTATCTGATCATCTATCAGACTTTGTTAGTTATAAATGCTAGCTTAAATCCAAATAATTTGAAGAGAAAAGAAAATAAAAATCCATAATTTCAGGTTAGGCAAATATATTTTGCTTGGCAGTCAAGATTGAATATAACTGAATAATATAGTATGTCATCATAGTATAACAAATACAGTATATATATATATAGTATAACATCTTTGAAGTTTTAATGTTCTCTTTGTGCTATACCTTTAAAAAATTTATTTATAACCAGTATATGACATATAAACAATGGTAAGCTTTCAAAGTTTCAATTCATTACAGGTATTAAATGTACCCATAATTATACCTTTCTCCATTCACTTGAGGTGACCTGTTATTTGGCACTTTTTGGATGGAAATATTCTCATTCAATTCATGAAATGTTTTCAACTATATTAATGCTAGTATGTAGTAACTGCCTTATCCAGACATATAATTCTTAAAGAAATATTGGAATGGAACACCATGAAAATTAATATTCTGTGTTTCCCCTGCAGACCCTTAGAAAAAGGAATTTTATATGATTTTTGCAGAAATCTGATATAAGCCTGTGTAACTTAAGGATCACATTCACGTTATTTCCCATAATTACTTAGCACCAAGCCAACACCCTGTATACAATGCCATATTTATTTTAGGTGAACTATAGTTTTGAGGTTTTGTAATTTCTTTGCGTAATGTGTGTATTTAGAAAATATATACATACGGTTGACAGACGTTATAACTATTCCTGCTGTACAATATAGCCATTGAACCTTTGTCTTTGAGTCATATAAACATAATCTTATGAACTGTTTTAAACTTCAGGAAATAGATTACTTTATCCAGTATTTCAAATTTTAAATTTTTTATGGCCACATGTACATATACAATATTTATATATGTGAAAGGGATTCATAATTACTTATGTAAGTCTGTCTCAGTTAATTTATTCATGTATTTCTCCTGAAAGTTTCCACGACTGTTCTTTTAGCAGTGAGAAGTATGATGTCATGGAGAGCCAGTGACCTGACTACTAAGAATAAAATTACTTTTATAAAATTAAATCATTTAGAGATACAGTGATATTTCCAATGATATAAAATTTGAAATATAAAAATGCGTGAAGCATCTATATGAGTTATGAAACATAATAGAAAAAGATCCCCATGATTCTACCACCCAATTTAAGATCTAGAATATTACTGAGAGTATTTCATCTACTTATGTGTTCTCATTTATTTCCCCCCCTCGAGAAGAAATAACTATACTGAATTTTGGGTTTGTATTTCTAATTCTTTTTAAACATTAATTATTGATTAATTTATTT
The DNA here is from genome assembly GCF_000001405.40 of Homo sapiens. Taxonomy (NCBI): domain Eukaryota; kingdom Metazoa; phylum Chordata; class Mammalia; order Primates; family Hominidae; genus Homo; species Homo sapiens. The sequence continues at coordinate 115,313,071 of NC_000007.14, forward strand.
ATATATACTTTTTAGAGATAGGGTCTTGTTCTGTCACCCAGGCTGGAGTGAAGTTGTGAGATCCTAGCTCACCACAGCCTCCAACTCCTAGGCTCAAGTCATTCTCTCACCTCAGCTTCCTTAGTAGCTAGGACTACAGGTGTATGCACACCACTTCACTCGCCTAATTTTTATTTTTATTTTTATTTTTGTAGATATGGGGTCCTACTGTGTTAGACTTTTTTTTTGTAGATATAGGGTCTTACTGTGTTAAATATTTTTTTGTAGATATGGGGTCTTACTGTGTTACCGTGTTACTTACGTTTAGGCTGATTACTTACGTTCGTTGGTTTTCAATGATGTATATAGCAGGGGTTAGCAATCTATGTCCCACTGACCTATGGCCAAATCTGACCTATGTACTAAATCCAAACAACCATATGTTTTTGTAAGCCCCATGAGATAAGAATTATTTCTATATTGTTAGTGTTGTAAAAAACATGTGAGACTGTATGTGACCCACAAAGCTTAAGCTATTTAATATCTGACCCTTTATAGAAAAAAGTTTGCCAAACCCTACTATAAAATATTCTGCTGTGTGAATACATTACACATTGGCCCATAATTGAGAGTTCATATGTAATTGATTTTAATCTACAGAATATTATGGGGTCTATAAGTAGGATGTTTTTCTCCAGAGAGCTTGTAATTTTGTTACTCCTCGGAACCAAAAGGAGCTGCATTCCTAGAAGCAATATAATCCTTTCATGGCTTAATTCAGTGCCTCAGTTTTAGTCCCCCTCTCTTCCATGATAGCTCTTGATGCTGATATTAACATTCACCCTCTGTGTAAACTCACCTTCAGTGCATGTGTATTGTTCACCATTTGAGTTTCAGTTTACGTGATGATGGTGGTCATGGCGCTGGGAACATCAGGCTTTTCTTTATTACCCATAAGCTCAGGCATACCACATATGTTATATTTTATGCAAGGTCTGATTATTCCATAATGGGAAGAAGACCTGTCAGGATATCTAGCGTGTCTTATTATTTGAAACATAGCCGCCAAAAATTGCTTCATTTATTAGAAACTAGTAATTTAAAACCTGTGTCATAAAACTGTAAAGCACTAAAAAAGTCCTTCTAAATTCTAAAAGGCTATACATAGGTGTTTTAAAAGTTATTTTCAGATTCAGCTATGAGAACAAAACACCATAGACAGGGTTAGCTTAAACAGAATAAATTAGTTTTTTCACAGTTCTGGAGGCTGGGGAGTTCAAGACCACTGTGCTGGAATGGTTGGTTTCTGGTGAGGGCTCCCTTCTTGGCTAGTACATGGCTGCCTTCTCATGGGGTCCTCACATAGACTTCAGTTTGCTCATATGTAAAATTAGGATCTTGGATAACGTGATCCAAACCCCAAAATACTGAATATAAGTCTTAATGTAGAGACTTGCACAAGAGAAAGCCAAAAGTGATTTTTTTTCTTTGTCAAGTTATATACATATATAACTTTTGGCATATATATGTGTGTATATATATGTGTGTGTGTGTGTGTGTGTGTGTGTATGTAATAGTTCCAGGTGATTCAGATATATATATATATATTTCTGGCATATATATACATATATATATATGCCAGAAAGAAAGTGATAATCAAAGGTTGTTTGATAAAACTTAATGAGATACTTGATGAAAAGGTTCTCCCAATTATTCTCTTGAACCAAATAAAGTCTCGCTTAAAATTACTTCAGTTTTATTCTGGGAATAGTAAATTGGCTTATGCACACTATGGAATAATACTACATTACTATTGACTATTCTTGATAAGAGAACAGGAATGATAAGAGAATAACATTCTTCAAGTCACTGAAAAAAATATGCTGAAAATTCTATCTTTGTGCTAGATTGTAAACTTCAGGTGGACACATGCCTTGCTAACTAAAGTATCTGAACTCATTAAATATTGGTAATAGGTGTGTTCAAATTAACAATTGTATCTTGTCTAATTTTACATTTATTTCTTTCCAGTGGAGTTGCTGTTCAAAAGGGAAGTTGCTAGAAAGATACCAGTTGAAGGAATAAGAGAAAGGAACTAAATCCTTGGGTAAGCCCCCAATTGGATAATAAGATTTTGTCAAAGAATTTGGTCTTGTTTCCCAATACATCCATACCAAAACAAAACAAACAAACAAAAAAACAAACAAACAAAAACAATACATGGCCAGGCACAGTGGCTCATGCCTGTAATCCCAGCACTTTGGGAGGCCAAGGCAGGTGGATCACGAGGTCAGGAGATTGAGACCATCCTGGCTAACACGCTGAAACCCCGTCTGTACTAAAAACACAAAAAAATTAGCCCAGCGTGGTGGTGGACGCCTGTAGTCCCAGCTACTCGGGAGGCTGAGGCAGGAGAATGGCATGAACCCGGGAGATGGAGGTTGCAGTGAGCTGAGATCATGCCACTGCACTCCAGTGTAGGCAACAGAGTGAGACTCCATCTCAAAAACAAACAAACAAACAAAACAAAACAAAAACAATACCTATAAAAAGTACATAGAGAATATTGTGGAAAGTGATGTTTCTCAAACCTGAGCATGTGTCTGAATCACCTGGAAGTATTACAGATTGCTGGGCCTCACTCCCTTAGAGTTTCTGATTCAGAATAGTTGAGGTGGAAACCCACCCCAAATGTGCATGTCTAATAAGTTCCCAGGTCATGTTCATGTTACTGGTCTGGAAACCACAATTCAAGAACCACTAAAGTCTTTTTAGTCCTTTGTAATCCAAATAATGTGCTTGGAATAATCTAGGTCATGGAAAACTAAGCCAATTTATTATGATTGGCATGAAGGCTTAAATCAGCAGGCCACATTACCACATTTTAAGAAAGTCACTCAGAACCTGCTTTTGCATTTATTATAAGGATGTTGGTATCACATGGTATACATTGATTGGCTACTTTTCTATCTTAGCTCATTGTTCACTATATAGATTGGTTCTTTTTGTACATGAAAACATAGGAGAGAAATTCCATCATATGGAATTTCAATAAAATTGAAATTGAAAAATATTGCAAAATATTTTTGAAACATAATGCATCATTGCGTTATGAAATTCAATTTCAATGCTTCAATGATGCATTATGCCTATTTTTAGTTTTTTGGATTGTGTTTTAAGAAACTAACCATGTTTTCGGGATTGATTTCTAGGAAACTCAGAGACAAATTTGCACCCAATGTCTAATAGAGTATATGAGAAATTATATTGGGCATTTGTGTACTAATTTCATACTTGGCTTCATCTTATATCATTTACCCTAATTTTTCTTACCTATCTCGTCAATTTCCTGTTATTTTTATATATTTTTTCATATCTTTATAGTTTTTTTTTAATTTGGAAAATAGTAAGGGTAATGATTATGTGGCTAGTTAAGTGGCTAGTAAGTGGCTAGTTAAGTAATGAACAGATAATTCCAAAATTAGTAAAATGACTTTTAAATAAATTCATGTGGTATAACAAAGTAGATTTGGGGAATCTGTTGTATGCTTCCTAGAGTGTTACACTTATTATTCGGTTATATTCGCATGTATTTTTTAACAGTCATTTTTATTGTATATCATTGTTAACTGAAGTTTACCATGAAGTTCACAGAACATAAGCTATGATTGTTTAAATATTAGGTCACAGCCCACCAAGTCCAGGAGTTTTTCCTTTGCAAGGAAAATGGGAGAGTCTTCATAAATCTAAGTGATACTGCTTCCTGTTATATATCAGGAATGTCATATTTATTATTGTATGGAGGACTACAAAAAGGGGGGAGCACTATTTATTTATGGTAGATTATTTTTACTTGTTTAAGTATACCATCTTTAATTAGCTGAAGGAAAAATTGCCAAAACAAATGAGGAAGGGGATTGTTTTTTGTTGTTGTCATTAAAGGTCTTGTGCTCACCACAGTGTCAGTGAAATATTCCCTATATAGTTCTGCAGTCTTGTTGATTCTTTTAAATAAACATTGAGTCAAGCAGAGGGAAATCATTTCCATATTTCATGTGGAAAATACGTATGTTTTCTATTTAAAATTTTGGGACTTTTTTGTTTTAATTGAGATTAATTTACTAGCATGTTCATGTTTCTCTACATTGTAATTTGTTTTTAATTACACATGAATGCCATATGTAGTTCATTGACACTCCTTATTAATTCTTGGAGTAAATTTACACACCACTCATGTCATTTGTATCATGGGGTGTGTGTTCCTTGTTAAGTGATTCCTTTCTGATATCTAAATAATTAGCTAATTAAGGGCATGATCCTAGGGTTCTTATGCAAGGATAACACCCACTGGCTTAAAGACAGCATGATTTGCTTTTATTGTGGATCACAGTGCTGACTATCCTCATCAGGTTGTTTTTCCTAATTAATGTAGTATTCATATTTGCAAATGTTCACCTGTTAAAATAAGCTTGTTAAACACGCTTGTTGATTTCTGTATTGTAAAGCTCAATGATGGCAGATGCTAGAGTATCTCAGTGGATTCCATTTGGGTCCACTGATATGTAGTTATCACTACATCCACAATCCTGGCAAATATCTGTAATTGACCACAGGAGTTGCTGTGTTAAAGAGTAGAATTAGATCAGACCAAACAACCCAGCCCAGAGAAACTAACCCTGCTACTACTCATAAGAATTATAGTAGCTTATACTTTTTTAGCAGTTACCATTTCCCAGACACTGTTACATAACTAACTCTGTTAATCATCACAAAAACATTCTGCAATTTGTAAATATCCTAATAATAGTGGAATCATTTGGCAGCATTTCTCTGAGCAATCAGCCCCTTATAGGAAAACCACAGGTGATTCTCTTAATTTCTAAATTAACACCCAATGCATTGCCAAGGCATTCCAGTACCTTCACAGTTTGATGTTGACCCACCTGTATGATTTGTAGCTACAACTTTTAACCTTTCCCCAACCCCTCACTCTTGTCCTTCAAGTCTATATCCGACTACATGGTGTTCACTGACTATATCGTGGGCTATCTACCCATCTCTTTGACTTGGATTTTGCTTCTGCTCTTATATCTACCTGTCTAACATTCCTCCTCCTCTTTTTATCATTATATAGTGAAATGCTACTACCTTTACATCTAAAACATCATCACCTCCTGAATGAAGACCTTCCTGAATATAAGCATTAGTAAAAGTCTTCATGCTCTGCTTCTCTTGCCGTGGTTTTTTAAAGTACAATATTTGATGCATTGTTTTATGCATGCACACACTTTCAAGATTATTTAGAAATATTAGTTTTTTTTCTTCTCTCCTCATATGATTTGGCTGTGTCCCCACCGAAAATCTCACCTTGAATTGTAATCCCCGTAATCCCTACATGTCAAGGAAGAGACCAGGTGGAGGTAACTGAATCATGGGGGCGGTTTTCCCCATGCTGTCCTTGTGATAGTGAGTGAGTTCCCACGAGATCTGAGATCTGATTATTTTATAAGTGTTTGGTAGTTCCTCCTGCATTCTTCATTCTCTCTCCTGTGCCTTGTGAAGAAGGTGCCTTCCTCCCTTTCATCTTGGGCCATGAATGTAAGTTTCCTGAGGACTCCCCAGCCATGCAGAACTATGAGTCAATTAAATTTCTTTCCTTTATAAATTACCCAGTCTTGGGTATTTCTTTATAACAGTGTGAAAATGGACTAATATATCTTCTATTTCTCAGAACAATTTTATTCCATCTCTTCCTGTGCATCTTTGATCTCAGTATATTCATTATCACTGATGATGCTTTTTATACCATCCAGCTCACTTTCTAGATTACATAATTTTCACTCCTGTCTAAATTGTTTGTGATTCAGCACTTTTTGATCCTTTATATGATGCTGTTGCTGAAATATTTTATCCTAGAAGTTCCAATTTAATTAATGTTAGGAGAGATTGCTTTTTTATTTATCATGTAGGTTCTATATTCATGATCACAACATCCTAACACTTAATGTTTTAATTTATTTATTTGTTTACCTGACAAATAAAAATTGTATGTATTTGTGGTGTATAAAATTATGTTTTGATATAAGTATACATTGTGGAATGGCTAAATCAAGCTAAGTAATGCCTTATACTATATCATATGTGTTATATTATATCATTACATTTTATTTAGCTTATTCAAGTACTTATACTTATCTTTGAAACATTTATTTATTTACATGAATGACTGATTGTGAGATTAGGAATTCTTTGAGGACAAATTCCACCACACCGCCCCCCGACCACTGCCACACACAGACGAATTGCCTCTCTCCACACTCACATATACACATACAAATACATGCTTCTACTTAGCCTAGCATTGCCCTTAAAGAGACTCCAGGGCCATTATGGATTAGCAGAGTCATTGTCTTCCATATGGAAAATATATTTTACCTATACTTTAAAAATGATTTTATGTCTTTTATCTTTTATCTTCTAATTTCACTTAATTTTACTTATAAGCATTTATTAAGTAGTACGTTAATAGTAATGTGTTATTCTGCTTTTAGATAACAGCCATTCCTCAATACAATGTAACTTTCTTAAACATTGGGTCCTTGTCTTTTATATCATTTATTTATTTTGTGTTCTCTGCATACCACAGTGGCTAAAGAGTACCTTTGGAGCCAGACTGTCTGGCTTCAAATCTCAACTCTGCTGGTACCTAACTGTTGCCTTGGGCAAGTTATTTAACCTCTGTAGGCTTTATATGACATCTGTAAAATGAAGAAAATAACCATATATACTTCACAGAGTTATTGTGAGGCTTGCATGATAAGACATGCGCAGCAGTTAGAACAGTGCCTGGCACAGAGCAAGCCCTTGATAAATGGCAGTTGTCTTTGTTGCTATGACTTTTCTTTTTCCTCCTGTCACAACGCACCTCTTCTTGGGTTCCTCATGGTCCATAGGTCATGGAGACTCCTAAATGTCTGACTAGAAGCCCCCATAAAACAATTCCTGATTAGTTTTAGATGAAGTGTATCAGTCTGTTGAATAGATCTCTGAGAGTGTTCAAAGGTGTTTTTTCTTATAATTTTTAATACCTCTATCCCATCTCACTACATCCTTTCTGTGTTGCTCAGGCAAACTTCAAGAAAAGCCTGAGCAAACAGGTAGGACTTTCAACTTGTACCCTGAATGTACAACTAAATCCAAAGCTAATGAAGTTCATTCAGATTAAAAGCACTTCATATGCCTACGACAGCTCTTTATATAATGCAGTTAGGGGTAGAAAATTCATGGTATTTCATGCTTACTTGTATGCTTTTCATGTGAAAAGATACAGTATAATAAAAGTTGAGGACTACTCATGTTAATTTATTATATTTTGCTGATATAGTCACATCAAGGGCTTAAGAAATATACTTCAACAGCAGCACAAATGAAGGAAGGATGGTTTAAGACATGGTGCATAAATGCTTTCCTTGCTGCCGCTTTTAATGACACTTCATTTAGAAATACACCCTCTTTCATATGGATAACACTCTATTTTAGAGTTAGACTTCTTTAGGAAAAGAAACTATAAAGTTCACTGAGGTGATTGTTTAGTAAAAAATTTAATAAAATTATCCCCACATAAAGGTACTGAAATGTAACAAAAATAAAAGGTAGATGCCCCATAATTCTTATGAGCATTAACTTTTAGAGAAAATCTATTTTACATATCAATTTAGTTTATTTAACACATTTCACATAGCATGTAAATAAGAAGTGCTTTATGTAATTTTAATTGGGTGGGTTTAGTGCCTTTGAAATTATAACAGGAGCAATTTATATTTAAGTAAAACACATAAAATCTGTGCTGTCTGTTCACTAAAAAAAGTGATCTTGAAAATATCATCTGTGATATGAATCAACAAATACTGAGCACCTACATACAGAAAACACTAAGTTGGACTGGGCGGGGAAGTAGAGCCAGAAGAAAAGCCATACCCAGGGAATTGGTAATCAAATCAGACATTTTGTAAAACTATATATGCATGTCAACTTAAGTAACTATATATATCAATATGTAATGTGGACTAAATGAGGAGTGCAGGTAATAAGCACCAGAAGAATTTAGACGAGAAAAAGATTGCAGTGGGCTTGAAACAATTGCCAGTCTTCAAAGAGGAGGCCCTATTTAAGAGTTGAGAGTAGATTATATGTAATAATCAGAGAAAAGAGAAAGGGGGTAGCTGATTAATAAACTGCAGTGGGCAGAGGCACATTCTCTGGGAAGCAAAGGAAGTGCAGGGGGCATGGGCCCCTTCCAAAGCCTGTACTTTATGTTGTGTTTGTAAATTTTCTTCCTTCCTTCCTTTCCCTCCCTCCCTCCCTCCCTTCCTTCCTTCCGGAACACCTCCCAAGTTGCGTAAGTTTCAGATCCACCCAAAATTTCAAGTTTTATTGGCTAATGGAACAAAATTTACGGGGAAATATGATTTGTTTTTAAGACAATAAATAGGCTAGTTTTGATTGGGCACAGAGTTCATGTTAAAGTGTCCCAGGGGAATGAATGGAAGGGTAGGTCAAGACCAAATTGCAGAAGTCATTTCTTTTCATACTAACGTACTAAATAATTTGAAAATTTATTCTATGTATAATAGAAAATCACCAAAACATGTTAAGGGAATTAGTGAATATTTATTGATCTCTCACTGTATATACCAGAGAGTGATAATCATATATCTCATGTAGGCTTAATAATAGTCATAAAAGGCAGATATCATTACTCTAATTGAAAGACCTGAGGCTCAGAGAAGAAGCTTCTCAAAGGTCATGAAATAACTAATGGTGGAATCTGGGACTCTAAAACACATCCTTCTGACTCTAATACTCAGCCCTTTCCCTATCCATGCAACAGAAGACTGGGAAGAAGAATCTAACAGTAATAGCTAAAATAAGGTGAGTTTGAGTAGAAAAAAGAGGAAGAACCAGGAGGCAGAAGAATAGATAGCTCCGAACAAGAACTTCAAGAATTTAGTGATCTATCTATGCCTTTCCCTTTGTTTGGGAAGCAGTACCATAGGAGAAAAGAAATATAAACACTCGATAAAGTATCTTTTTTTTTTTTTTAACACATCACTGCACTATTCAACAAAAAGCACCAAAAAGGAGCAAAAAAGTAAAGTTTAATTTCTACTTCTGCCTAAAATGTCTGCTTTTTGATTCGCTGATGTTTTTAACTATAAAAGATGTGATGGTCCCTTCTTAGTGATAGAGAATTATCTCCAACTCTCATTCAATATTTCTTATATTTACTTGTATTATAATTGCTTTTGAACATACTTTGCTAGATTATAACTTCTTTGCAGGCAGGGTCTGTGACTAATATGTTTTAGCAGAATTGAACTCATTACCTTAGACCATGTTAATAGCTACTGAAAATACACAAAGGCACACATACACACACGCACACACACACAGATGCCATTATAGACATTTTGACGTCTAAAAAATGGCCTTCCTTTTTTTAACATAACTTTTGAACACACAGGTGTGATGAAGGAGTGGAGGGAAAAGAAGAGAGGGTTTAGACTTAATCAAGTCAATTGGCTGCAGGAAAGACAAGCATAGTGGCCACATGGAGGAGATGCCATTTGCCAGACAAATGACATAGGATATCGGATGAGACCATTTGTGCCTTGGATATTGTATAATTTTTACCAATTCTTTGTTTTATAAAAAAGCAAATATTCATGATTTTAAAAATCCTATTGGTTTCCAATTTATCTTCCATTTTGTCAGATAATGTATCTTTTTAATACTGAGATCAAATTCCATTACCCCCTTTTTAAATATATTTATTAGCTCCCCACAATTTATATTCTAAGGAAACAGTGTAGTGATTAAAAGTGAAGGCCTTGGAGTCACACAAAATGAGGTTCAAATTGCAGCTCAACCTCTGGCTAAGACTGGCCTTAGCCAAGTCATTTTTTTTTTTATTTAATAAGTTTCAGTTTCTGTCTGTCACTCATCATGAGCATGATTATTCCAAGGTTTTAATAAGGAGTAAATGGAATGAGCCATGAAAATGTGCATAGTACAGCTAATATTCAGTATGCATTAGTATTAGCAAAAGTTCTCCAGAAAAACAGAACCAATAGGAAGTTAGAAGAAGGGGAAGAAAGAAAAAGAGAAAGAGATTTGAAAAACAACAAAAAAATGGCTCACATTATTGTGAAGGCTAGCAAGTCTGAAATCGGTAGGGCAGTCCAGTAGCTGGAAACAGGCAGGATTTCTATGTTACAGCCTCAAGACAGCATTCTATCTTCTCTGAGAAACTTGTTTTTGCTCTTAAAATCTCAACTGAGTGAGGCCCACCATATTATAGAGGGTAATAACACCACAAAATACCTTCATGGCAACACTTAGACTAGAATTTGACCAAACAACTGGGCACCAAAATCTGGCAAATTTGACATATAAAATTCACCATGACAGGTTTATTACTAAGGAAAAGACCAGACTTCTTTGTAATTGCTTGAAAACATGTGCTTTCTCGTGTCTCTCTGTCTTCTTCATGGACTAACCACCTGTGTATCCTTGAAAAATCTCACCCTACTTCTCTGCATGGCAAACTCATACTAATCTTCGTAGTCTCAGGTAATTTATTACCCTTTCTGCTAGAATTTTCTTGCCACTCAAGGCAGCATTTTGTGTATCTTCCATATTGAAACAGTGCTTTGTGTACATCCTCTTGAAAGTAACACCATGAAAGATTAACTTTTTTCCTTTCTGTTTGTATCTTTTTAGCACTCACAGTTGGTATAGAGGAAAAATTTGAATGTTAAATTAGGTTTTGAATGAATATTTGAATAACAAATGATGGAAAGAAGAAAAGAGGGAAGGAATCAAAGAAGAAGGAAGAAAAGAATTGGAAAGAAGAAAGCAAAGGATTATAATAAATAAAAAAAAGAAAGAAAAAAAAAGGATTAATTTCTTTCCACAATTTGCTCTTCAATATTCCTCATTGCCCACAATATTTTTCACCCACCCTGTTTAGCTCAAGATGATGACATGATAAAATATGTGTCTATAATCTTCTTAAACTAGAGAGCTAAGCAATATAGGCAATATTTATTTTTGTATGCAACATAAAACCAGAACTGAAGATTTTGTGGCAGACTTTGAGATTGAGATAAAAGCTGACTGTGCCTTCTGAAATTTTTTAAAACAAATTTGTGATTAATTTTTATGAAAGATTAGGTAACACCTAAATATTTTATTAGGTATCCCATCATGTGTTAAATGTCTTTATCATAGTCAATGTGAGAATCAAGTCTAGGCCACCATATCAACCTTCTTGTCAATGCTTTCATGCAGATAATCCCTGGATATGCTAGAAGTGAGAGGTCATGAAAACCATTTTCTGGAATGAGATTATTATTTCTCATATGAAAATACATCACTTATGGGTAGATTTTTCAAGTTGCTGCCTTCTGAATGGCTATGTCTTCTCCGCTGGTTTAATCTTAGTCACCTCCTCTGCAATGAGTTGAAGACATGCTTTGCTTTTGGATCCTGTATAGTTGATGATGACACATGGAAAATCAACAAACTCCTTTAAAATTTGTAGTTCCTAAGAAGGTGGCACAATATGCGTAATTCCAACTCTGCAGTAGGAAAGCTTAAAGTGTCCTTGTTTTAAATTGGTATTCCACATCTGTAGACAAGTGAGGAACCAAACATTGTAGGGCTATATATACCACAATACAGTTGAAAATATAAGCTTAGCCTTAGTAAAGAGAAAAAAAAAATGGAGTCTAATGACTAAGTCAACAAGTGGGTAGACAGACCTTTCTTTTTGTTTTTTCTTTCAGCATAAAGTTTTAGTTTTAAATATTAATTTCATCTCAGTTGTCCTATTTAAGAAAATGAAGTAATGCCTCCCTTTTAAATATCATGGTAAAAATCTTTGTTAACATTTCTAAATTCTGAGGAGAAAATTTAATAGAATTATTATAAAGGGCAATGATACAGAGATAGATAAGAATCCTCAGGCAGACTTTGGAGAAAACAGCTCTAAAGGTGGAGAGGAGAGAGAGAGAGTACAACGTTTCAGCCTTTTAAGCCTACAAAATTAGCATCCTAATCATATTGCACTTATTTCCATTTTTCAGTCATATGGGCCCTTTACCTTACTTTTATCGACGTAAATTCATGTTTTAATTGTTGATTTTGTTAATTACAGACTGTATTGGCTGTCTTCCTTTGCATGAATTTTCTTCATGAGTTTTAGAATTTGGCTTTGCGGGGTCATTTTGAGTAGCAGTATTTTTGTTAATTTGGTTTGGTTTGATTTAGATTTTGATTTGGTTTTCTTTTTTTCTTATCTTGGCTTAGTTCTTGGTCACAAGATGGTTCTTTGTCCTCCTGTCTCCCTAAGCCTGTAGTTTGCATAAAGCCGTACTTTGGATAGCCTGAATTCTAGCTTCCTTCATGAGCTCAGAGCCCTTGGTATCCCCTGCTTCAAAAAGCAAGACTTGGACACAGAAACTGAGACCCTACTCTTACTGCCAGCTTCTGACTCAGGAACCAAAAAGTAATTTACTTTCAGCTGTACTTTTCAATTTGAATTTATGGGTTTTGTTGTTGTTGTTGTTGTTTGTTTTCTGGTCTAAGAAGATATCGGTTCACTTTTGAGTCAGGCTTTGTGTTGCTGTTTTTGTTGTTGTTGTTGTTTGTTTTTTTCTTTTTATATTTTATCTTTCCCCATTAAATGTTTAGAACACAGGCTTGCTTCAAAATAGCTACTGAAAAAGCCATCATGACTGGGTGTCTTAGGGCTCTTTAATGTTGAATAATAGACTGAAAATAGGTTAAACATCCTATTATGACTCAATTGTTCTCTAATTTTAATATGTCCAAGGGTCACTACAGGACTTGGTTACAAAGCAGGTCCCCAAACTCCACCTTTAGAGATTCTCATTCAGTGTGGTTGGCGGTAGGGTGGTGCCTTAGGCATCTACAGTTTTAATAATTCATTTAACTGATGTGGCCTGTTCCGACAGGGGTTAGTTGATAGAGTCTCAGAAACAAATAGCTAGAGTTCATTACAATTCAAACATGAAGAGGATTGGTTATGCTGACAGACAGCTCTGTTTTTGTGTTTGGGGAAGCTATTTGTGTGACCCTCCAAGATTCAGACCATCTTGTGAATAAAGGGAAACAACAGACCCTAATGAATGAGAATTCATTGCAATCCACAGAAAGGAACACAGCCAGTCATTCAGTTGAGTTCTATGTAGGGTGGCAGGAAGGAAATTTCAAATCAGAGATCTATCACAAAGGAAAAAAAATAGGTTTAATATAATGTTTCCTATTAATTAAACATTTTAACATAACTTTGTAGCAAGAGCATTTGTCCTATAGTCCAGAAATTCCCATGAGTACTAAGAAAGGCCAAAAGGGAATATGCCACTCAACAATATTCTGTGAAATAATCACCTGTGGGAATTCATGAAAAAATGGATTAAAGTATTAAATTTATACTGAAAATAACATGGCTAATAAGTGGCTTAATGACAATGATATGAAACAATGAAAAAACTGTAGATGGCAGGCAGCTGATGAATTCCTAACTGTATTGATGTGGAAGTTCTTAACAGCAAGAAAATGGCAAAGCCTTCTTTACTTATTTGCATGTCACTCCATTTTTGAATTAGAAAATGAGTGAGTAACTAGTATCTCAGGATCTTCTGATTTGCAGTAGCTAAACAGAGTCAATTCCATACTATGAGGCATTATGCAAAGGAATAGTATTTAAGCTTAGGACTTGAAAATTATATTTTTCTGTATGAGTGTGGGGATGTGGGCGGATCCCTTTTCCAAAAAATGTGTCAAAATTGAGAAAGTTATGATCATTACTTTGCAAAATAGACATTAACTGCTATAAAAATTTCTCTTTGCCTACTCGTCTCTAAATCATTTTAATATATGGGATAAAAGGACCAAAACTTGCTTGCTTTTTCTACTGTGATCTTTAAATGGATCAGGCTTAGTGGTTTGCCATCAGATTGTAAAAAATTAAAACAGCTCCTCTATACATTCAGCTAGAATTTCCACTGGGGCATAGATATACTTCTTATGAACATATCTGTGACCCTTTCATAGAAATTTATACTGGAAAATTCAGAACAACAGGTGTTTTAGAACATGTGTTTACATTTTCAGTTTGAAATAATGCCAGCTAAAAGAGAAACTGAAGATAAATATCTGTAAAAGGAATATCTGACTGAAAGAAAGGGTTTATATAGTGCCTAAGTGGGAGAATTTCCATTGATAGAAATAATGTAGTTTGATGAGTACCCTTCAGGAATATGCAGTCAAGAAAATCATACAAGATCACAAACTTTTAGTAAAGTCAGCACAGTGCTTCAAACTAGCAAATTTACCTAAAGTGTTAGGAAATTTACATCAACTTTTACTAGTAAAATACTGCTTACATTGCAATATTTCTTTTTCTAAGACCAGCAATATCTGTCTAATAACTGTCATCCATTTTTTATAAATGTAGCTAGGTACTGTAAAAATGTCTCCTGATTAACTAAGGAGGTGAAAAATCAAATTAGGAAATATAGCATATCTTTTGAGATATGGGTTTGAAAACTATGGTGTCAATATGTAATATGTAAACATTCCTGAATAAAATATGAATTTTTATGAATGTGGTATTTGAGTGACTTCATATGGAGGCAATATAGTTCAGGGGCTAAGGTATAGAATTTACAAACAGACCTTGAATCAATTGGCATCAGGCTCTATCCTTGTACTAGCTACATGACCTTGAGTATAATTGTTTCTCATTTGCATAAAGAAATTGTGCAAGGTAATGTAGGTAATATCACATAGCACAGAGCCTACACCTCTCATTCTCCTGGAAATATGTGTGTGTTGTGGGAGGGGATAAAGTGATAGTGCTGTAAAGTGGGGATGAGAAGAGGGAAGTGACTGAATATAGCACACAATACCTTGTTCTAGGGATGAAATATCAAAATACAATTGATCAGTTATCTGAAAGTGTATAGATAGAAAATACGTTGTGGTGGACAAGGTGTATTAGTCAGAGTTCTCTAGAAGGACAGGACTAATAGGACAGATGTACACATGAAAGGAGCTTATTAAGGAGTATTGACTCACAGGATCACACCACGTTAGGCCGTCTGTAATCTGAGGAGCAAGGAAGCCAGTCTGAGTCCCAAAACCTCAAAAGTAAGGAAGCTGACAGTGCAGCCTTCAGTCTGTGGCCAAAGCCCTGAGAGCCCCTGGCAAACCACTGGTGTCCATTCAAGAGTCCAAAAACTGAAGAAACTGGAGTCTGATGTTTGAGGGCAGGAAGCATCCAGCACAGGAAAAAGATGGAGGCCAGAAGACTCAGCAAGTCTGCTCTTTCCATTCCTGCTTTTCTGCTGGCAGCTGATTAGATGGTGCTCACCAAGACTGATGGTGGGTATTCCCCTCCCAGTCCACTGACTCAAATATTAATTTCCTTTGGCAACACCCTCACAGACACACCCAGGAACAATACTTTGCATCCTTCAATCCAATCAAGTTGACACTCAGTCATTGCACAAGGTGATTTGCTGCTTGAATCTTCAAGGAAGGGTTTGTTACCCAGCTGGTAGGGATTCTGCCTTCAGGCAGAATCTATTGGTCAGGGTCAAAGTTTACCCTTTCTAGGTAGTTCATATCCAGTGACTGATGGAGGCAGAAATATAAAGGTTTGGCCTTCCCAGTTTGGTGGGCCATATATTCCAGGGGTTGACCAAGGTTTTTTCAAGCCACCATCATAGTTCAATTTCTCCCTTTGCCCAGTTCTACTTCCTTCTCATCTCTTCCACATGAATGAAATCTCTAATAAATATCTTGCACTCCAAATTTGTCTCAAACAAGTTTGAGAACTCAGGTTGGAGAACCCAACCTGAGTACAAACTCTGGCAATAGTGGCTTTAAAGTCCTGGGAAGCAAGCACACTAGACGTTGTCTTTCAAGAGCATACCTCCATATCCAGTGGAGCTTTTGAGTAAAAAGTTGGTGAGGTTCTGATTAAAAAAATAGGCAAAGAATATGAATAGATATTCTCAAAAAAGACATACAAATGGCCAACAGGTATGTAAAAAAATGTCTAACATCGTGAATCATCAGAGAAATGCAAGTTAAAACACAATGAGATATTACCTCACATCTGTTAGAATGGCTATTATCAAAAAGATGAAAAATAATTGTTAGAGAGGATATGGAGAAAAGGGAACCCTTGCACATTGTTGATAGTAATGCCAATTAATACAGTCATTAAGGAAGACAGTATGGAATTTCCTCAAAAAATTAACAATGTATTAAGTTTTGGGGGAGTCAAAATAAAAATTAAATAAATAAAAATAGAACTACCATATGATCTAGCAATCTCACTACTGGGGATATATCCAAAGGAAATGAAATCAGTATGCCAAAAAGATATCTGCCCTCCCATATTTATTGCAGCATTATTCACAATAGCCAAGGTATGGAATCAACCTAAGTATTCATCAGTGGATGAATGGCTAAATCAATTGTGGTATATAGACACATAGAATACTACTCAGCCTTTAAAAAGAAGGGAATTATGTCATCTGTGACAACATGGATGAACCTAGAGAACATTATTGCAAGTGAAATAAGCCAGTCACAGTAAGACAAATTATATGATCTCATTTATGTGTGAAATCTAACAAAGTTAAACTTTTAAAAGTAGAGCAGAATTTTTACCAGGGGCCGATGGAGAAAGGGAGGTTGAGGAGATGGTCAAACAGTAGATACAAATATTCAATTAGATAGGAATAAATTCAAGAAGTCTATTGTACAACATGGCCACATAGTTAATAACAATGTATTGTATTCTTAAAAATTGCTAAAAAAGTAGATTTGTTTTCAGCAGAAAAGAATAAGTATGTGAAGTAATTCATCTTCTAATTAGCTCAATTTAGTCATTCCAACTTGTATACATATTTCAAAACAATGTGTTGCATATGATACATATAAACAATTTTTGTCAATTTAAAAATAAACAGTGATAGCACAGTGATGGCAAAAATAAGTAAAAAGGAACCTGTGAGGTTTATAAAATGAAGTGGTATTATAATACCTGTGTGTATGCTTGCTTGTCCAAATATACCTGGTGCAGAATTCTTTCAAACTGATATCTCTATACCCAGGTTATACAAGCAGTGGCTAGGGCCATAACTAAAAGGATGATCTGAGACGTAAATGGAAGCTATTGTTGTGGCAATCACTTTGAGAAATCTTTCCCAATAGCAGTGATTGATTTGCATTGATTCGTTACATTCATTTTTTTGTCTTTTGTCATTGCGTTCTTTTTAAAAATCTACTGTTTCCAAGTATAGATATTTGCTAGATGGCAGGCTTGATTGGAACTATCATCTCTGACTAAGGAATTTAGTGACTATTGATGACCTCCATCAGTCATTGGATGATTATTCTTCAGGGTGAGCTAATCATAGCTGATGGCATCACCCTTTATCTAGAACTTCCCTGCCAGGCCTGTGGCAGAATATAGTAAACGTTGTTATTGTCATATAAATTATGAAAAAAATTAATGAAACAGTTACGTCTGCAGCCAATTGGGTAAACCAAAAGGCTTTGGACTTCTACTTCTTGGGTATAGCAGAATTAATTGAAGTAAAAGTGTACTATAAGATCAAGTGTATTGGGCCATTTGCATTGCTATAGTGAAATACTCGAGGCTGGATAATTTATAAAGAAAAGAGGTTTAGTTGGCTCACATTCTGCAGGCTGTACAAGCATGGCACCAACATCTGGCTTCTGGTGAAGGCCTCAGGAAGCTTACAAAGCAGGAGTAGGCAAGTTACATGGTGAAAGCAGGAGCAAGAGAAAGAGGTGGGGAGATGCCACACACTTCCAAACAACCAGGTATCACGAGAACTCACTCACTATCATGAGGACAGCACCAAGCCACTCATGAGGGATCTGCCCCAGTAATTCAATCATCTCCCACCAGGCCTTGCCTCCAACTTTTGGGATTACATTTCATCATGAGATTTGGAGGGGACAAACATACAAACTATATCAGTCAAGAATACCGAGGTAAATAATCAAATATCAGAAGTCAGTGTTGGCTTGTCAGGCTGGGTTTGACAAAGTATAGATCATGTTCTTAGAATATAAAATTAAAAAAAGGTCAAGAATGTAATAACTAAATTAGGTCACCAAAGCAAATTTCAAGGTGGAGACTCTAGGAATTCAAATGAAGAGGAATAGAGGAAACACAGGTCACAGTCTATGAACATATGATTAGTCTGTAGTCAAAGTTAGTAATACAGTAATAAAAATGAAATTTACTGAGCACCTACTATGTGCTGTCCACTTGGGTAAGCTGTCTGCATTGATGAGATAACAGTTGTTATTAACCTTATTTCACTAGGTTTAGAGAGGTTAAGTAACTTGCCCAATCACACAACTAATGAGTAGTGGAGGCAAAATTTTAATCAATGAACACATGCTATACTACATGTAGCATGGGTTTAACCCATGCTATAAACCATTATGTACTAATACCTCTCCATGGTACAACCTGATAAATAGATCAGAAGGAGAGAGAAGACTTCTAATATTTGACTCTACCTGATAGTGTTTTTGGTAACTCAATAAAACTTTATAGGTTAACCCTTAATGCTGCATCTAATTGTCTATGCAGGTAATTTATCTAAATTGATCAACCTTAATGGTAATTTAGTCTGTCTGTATAAGTGCACTTTTAGCAAAGGATAATCATTGATAAGTTTTCATTACACATAATTGCTGCTTGCCTGATCACATTATTTGTCAGTTGAGGGCATTTATAGAATAATATAAGACAGTAGTATACAATCTATGCAATCTATTATAAATAATATATATTTATAGTACATAATATTGTAGGACTCCATAAATTTCATGAAGATAATAAAATATTAGTTACAAGTGATTTACCTACTGTACCAAGAAATTACTAAACACCATCCATTTTACAATTACTGTAAGCATATGAAACAAATTAAATTGTTCATATTGGGATTCTATTATGAGTTTCCAATATTAGAATGAATAACACTCTTAAGAGATATAATTAAGATAATTTGTTTAAAATGAGTCCAGCCTAGATTTCTCCCTCCTCCTGCATCAACTATATTTTACCGGTCCTCTTCTTTGTAATCTATAATGTTGTTCACCATGGAGGGATGTGGTAGTATAGTCCAAAATAAACTGGTGCAGTCATTAGCCAGTCAAGCACTCACACAATATGTGAAAGAACATACAAAGTCGACCTTACTTCAGGTTCAAGTGACCTATTCAACCCCACATAGCGCCTCTCTCTTTCTCTTTCACTCTCTCTCAGTGTGTGTGTGTGTGTGTGTGTGTGTGCGCGCGCGTGTGTGTGCGCCAGTTGGATGGTGAGAATAATGGTTGAAGGGTATGTTCAGGATTCCACTTCACTCTTTCTCTCAACTTGTATTTGGACTCCTGGGTTACCTTGAGTGATTGTCTCTTACAGTCACATAAATCCCTGCTTGATATATTTTTCTTTTTATCTCTATCTTCTGTGGCCTCTCAGTCTGTTTAAATCTACATTGTTAGCCTCTACCCCAATCAGTCACTGCCCTGCCATCCTACATACACCATGTCTTTTTTTTCCCTTAAGTCACCACTGAGGGTGGTTGGTGTGCTTTATTTTGTTCTATTGCCATTTGGACATAGAAGTTCTGGATCTTAATGGGCCAGTCTCTGAGTGGATTACTTAAGACCTACGAAAATAACATGACTCACAGGTTGCTAGTAGTGAAAAAGCATCTGCCTTATTATCATGTTCAGAGCTGATTTCAAAGGCAGTTTCTTGTGTCTCTGCCTGAGCTGTGACTATGACATAGGTATCTTAAATATTGTCTTGAGTCTCTGCTATAAACGGTTTATTCACTAAGCAGAAACATTGGCTTCTGTAACGCTTGCTCAAAACCAAATGAATATCTTGTACACATGTAAAACCTTAGGGGGATTACTATTTAATCATTTTATATTCAATTGTATGTAAATGAGGAGAGGGTTTGAAGTCTTCAGTTGTCCACAAACTGGTAAACTCTCTCTACAAATTGCTTCAAGAAAACATTCAAAAAAGATTTTAAAAGTAAAATGATTTTAGAGCCACATATTAATAGAATTTTAAAAATTATGAGCAACATGTTTTAATCATTCTCTATGGGTTTGCTCATCTGAAAATGGGATGGAATAAGGAAAAGCTGGACTATGAGGTCATTGATATCCTTTCTAGTGCTAAGACCCTATGATAATAAAACACCTTGTGAGTGTTGCAAAGTATTCAGAGAGCTCAATGTATGTAGCCCATTCACTTTTTCAATTATTTTACATTTTTGAACTGTTGAAATGAATTACTATGTAATAACTTTTTGTAGTATGTAATAGCTGACTTTATTAGAAACCACCTTATGGTTTCTGGTGAACATTTGCCCATATTGTGAAGTCATCATACAATCTGGCACAGTAGACACCTTATATTTGGAGAAATTTAGGACTATGACTGGGTTGCAGGTAATAACTAATATATTTTGGTGAAGAAATGTTTAAATATTTAATCTCATTTTATTAAAAATCATATATTTACAGTAGACCAGCAAGGTGCTGAAACTATATTTGTTTTGCAACAAAAAGACATCACACTGCCATATTTTTCCCAAACTATAAATCTATATTGGAGAGCTGTATCTAAAAGGACATAAATAAGTATCTTAATGAGTGATTTTCAATACAAATATACATTCAGGATTTTTTTCCTATCAGGACAACACTGTCTTGTCACAATCAGATATGGTAAAGCACACACACACGTCATAATAACATCCATTAAAAATTGGGTCTTTATGCAAACAAAAAGCGAGTGATAGCATAATGAAAACCCAGCTATGATGGCACAAAAAGTTCATAATTATACTGATATAAACATGATTATGTTTACATGTCTAGAAATAGAGTGTACCATTTTATTACTTATAAGGGTTAGTGACAGAACACTTAAAGATACGTTTTGAAAGAGCAAATGCGGTGTTAGCTGCATGACTCCCATTAAAGTCAATGAGAATCACGCCGTTAAAACACTGTACACCATTTTGAAAAATTATCCCAGAGGGCTCTAATATGGCTTTTTATGAGTTACCCACACAAATCCTTTTATTTTCCAATAGATCTTCTTTGTGGCAGAATAAGGTAGATGAATTGAAGCATTATTCTTTTAAAAATAAAAGCTATTTCTATAAAAATCTCTGAGACAGTTGACTTATGGTGAGATTCTTTTTTACTGGATTTCTAATATGAGTGAAGTAATTTTTAATGTATTTTAATGAGAACAAAAAAGTGCATTCAATTGATGAGAATTGCTAAGATATTTTAGGAATGTGAATTATATTTGTCAATTTAATACAATTCTGCCTATTCTTTTTGAGCTTATGCCACAGCGCTGTTCTAATACTATGAGTTTAACTGTAAAACAAAGTCCCTGATCTTTTAAGTAGTTTATATTTAGTGAGAGTGAAGAAGACATAATAAATGGATTGAAAAGAGAAATAGGTATTGTTTGAATATTCCATTAGTCATAAAGTCAAAAATTTTCTATTTAAATGAGATTTAATGACCAGCTATTTTGCAAAATATATTATTTTAATAATCAATTCTTATTTTAATATTTAGCCAAAAATATTTTTATTTTACAGCAGAGGTGCTAACACCTAGAGTACTTAAAATATTCAACCAGAATCAGACGCAGGCCAGAGTTTATATGTACCTAATGTCACCTAATACGAGGCCAGTGTTTTAAAAACAATTTTGAAACAGCATGTAACATAAAAGTACAATTAAAACTGTATAGAACAAGAATTTAAAGCATAAGATTCCATGAATGGTATGATAAGGACAGGAGTGAGGTAAATATTAATAAAATGGAAACATGAATACCTGTGAGAGAAGAGGAAGAATTAAAATATGAATGAAATAAAAATAAGACTTTGAAGAATAAATAATTTTAAGTGAAAAGTTTTGATTTATAATTTTTCTTTCTTTTGTTAATTAGTCCAGAAATTATTTGGGGTGGTGGAACAGTCTACATCAGTGCTGTGTTTGTTACAGGCTTTGCATTTTCACATTTTAAGAGAACTTTAGAAAGGAGGCCCTGATTGAGGGAACTTCACATCAGAAAAGATGCGAAGAATAACTATTGTTAACAGTTACAAGGAAGAGTCTAAGAGTGACCAGAAGATGATGTACACACAAATTTTATGAATCCAATTAGGTACATAAAGATAAGCCATTCGTATGAAGAAAACCAGAGGGATATTTTATGGTAAATAGGAATCACAGTTACTTATACAATTAATAAGGATTGTCTTTGGCTTCTAAATGAATCAAATCATGAGCCTAGAGTTTACCAAAGAAACTTTTTGTTTTTATTTTTCATGACTCTCTACAACTCCAGGCAAATTTTTGTAGAGCTAACAGGCTCTATACTGCACGTCTATCACTTTTTTTGTCTATCTTTTTTTTGAGTGCATTTCCTATTCTTAAATGATTGATAAAAATTGTTAAATAAGGCAAATACTGTACGTGCTACAGTGTAATGAGGCCTGTCAAGCAGGGGCAATACTGCTCATCATGATATTAAAATTAAATGTAGCATTTTTTAAATCTTTAACATAAATAAAGAAGTTATTTCTCTGGACCACTGCATTTTCCATAAACTCAATGTTCTGTATAAGTCACTGTCATAGGATATATTTTATTTTGAGGCAACCCAGTCATTTTTCTCCATAAATAACTACCAAATCAAGTATCATTTATCTAAAAATTATGTCTTCTAAGGTCTATGATATGCAAAAGATACTAGTTAGAGGGGGCTAACTGTAGTCCTAGTAACTTATGCGTGCCTTTTGAGATGACACTCTTATTTTCCTTCAGATATGCAGCTAATGGCTCTGGTTTAAAGGCTAATTGGGACAGTATATCTTTAGGAACAACTCGGAGGTTATGGTTTGAAACTCAGGATTCTGGCTAAGGTTATCTAAAATATTCCTTTAGAATTATGTGGAAGAACAATGAATGAGAAGCTTTCAGAATCAGGAAGTCAGAGGACAATAATACAGGGAAAACAGTTGTTTATGTTAATAATCATATAAAGTATTTTAAGGGAGTGTCCTCTTACATATTATGATTTGACATTATGTCCCACATTTCATTCAAAAATGAAAAGTTTTGCAGGCAAATAAACACTATTAAATCATAAAATATGTAATATGAAATGTCAGGCATATTATTGGGTGGTTTTTCCATCCCTGAATGTGGTTTCTTATTTGATCTGGATAAAGACCTTTGGAGAAAGCCTCATTTTGAATGTTAAAAATTCAAACTCAGGAATATGATTTATCTGATGTAATGCAGCTAAAATAAAGCAAAGCTAAGACAACTGAAATATTTTTAGAAATTTCAAATCTTTTTGTACTCCCTATTCTGCCTAATCAGGTAGGGTATGGGATATAAGAGAATGAAAAAAACAAAAACAAAAACAAAAACAAAAAAACATGAGGGCAAGTGTAAGTAATGCAAATTTTCTTTAAAATTTTTCTTTAAAATTTTCCCTTAAAATCCTTCTTTAAAATTTTTCCTTAAAATCCTTCTATTTCTATGTTTATTGGCATAAATTTGGGAGCCTCAAAGCCTGGAAGAGTAGTAGCCTGAGCACAAAGTATGGTGTTATAGAGGATATTGGGTGTAAGCATATGACAGTTGTTTTAGATTACGGTCTTAAATTGGGAAGAGCAGTGAAGGTTGACACAGCTTCCTGGTGTAGATGACAAAAGACATGAGTATATAAGACACAAGAGGGAAAGAGTAGAGAAAAAAAGAGCAAGAGTTTGAAGAATATATTTTGTAGAAAGTCCGCATTTAAGGAATAGCAATGAGGAAAAACAAAACAAAAAAACACCTAACAATCTTGCTTAAATAACATAGGAAATCTTTCCATGCCATTATTGTTCTCTCTTCCATCATAACCCAAATTTCTCCTATTTCATCCTTTCTATGATCCAACCAGCTAAATAACCTTGCTATTCCTTACCTTAGTTTTCTCAATTTTATGCCATTTTTATGCTATCAGAGTGTCTTACTGAATCCTCTCACATTTAATATTTGTGGGAAGTTCGGAGTAGTTGTTCTCAAACAGGAGGGGACATTTGCCCCACCCACCCTGGGACACCTGTCAATGTCTAGACATCTTTAGTTGTCATAATTTGGGGGAGGGAGGTGTCTGCAATTGGCATTTGGTGGATAGAGGCAAGAGATGCTGCTAAACATCCTACAATGAACAAAGTAGCTTCATACAACAAAGAATTGTACATCCCCAAATTGCAATAGTGTCAAGGTTGAAAAGTCCTGGTTTAGATAGAGACGTGCCAAATAACTCCCAGTTTGGGTGCTGCTTTCCTAGGAACAGAAGGAGCTAATAAGTTAATAGGTAAGGAAAGGCCCACATAGAGATTTAGTTCCTAGCTTTAATGGCACAAGAGCTAGCTGGCGAGACCCATTTAACAAATACATGTGAGCTACAGAGATAATTGTGATAATGATGTATTGTCTTGTGTCCTCTTATGAAGCTGACTTGTCAAGGGTTTTCTTTTACTCCTTTTTTTTTTGTTGTTGTTGTTGTACACAATTTTTTTGACTTAAGCAGGATTGACTTTGAAATAAAACCCAACATGTTTTCCAGTTGATTTTGATTTAAAGGAGGCCTTTCGTAGAGTGCCTCAGGGTATGCTGGCTATGGCTATTTATCTTTATCCGGGGTAGTTTATGTATTTTAAGAAAATGATGAATGGAAGCTTTAAAAAAACTCATTATGGTAATTGATTATTATAGAAAAACCTTGGGAACTTTACAAAAGAGAACTGTATTCTCTTGGTATCTTAGCTTTAAACCAGACGTGTAATTAGAAGAATCTATAAACATTTGTCACAGTAAGAGAAGCCTGGTCACTAAGTTTGGAGGGAAACTCTGGAGTCACTTTATTGTACTGCACTGAGATGACACACAGTAGTGGTTGTTACATATAACAGGAGATTAATATGCCCTGTGAAATAAAAGACCACCCGCGTGGAACCAACGTAAAAAGTAGTGATAGAAAAACTTGGTTCATTTCTTTAGAAAGGTTGAATGTTATTCTTTCCTTATAGTGTCTCAACATCTGTGAACAGAAAAAAATGTTAGTTAAAATGCCATTGCCATTTAAACAATTACTGTTTACTGTTGTTTTCTATTTTCTTAAAACTTAAAGAAATAAAACCATGAACTGAGAACATTATATAAATATACCCGTGCTTACACACTGTCCCCACATACACCCACCTACCCCATCACACAATTACCTACATTCTTATTCCTAAGAAAGTCGGAATCTAAACACCATCTATGGGGAGATACCAGTTGTTGATTTTTTTCTTACACAGAACAGTGTTCATATCACTGAAGATTAAGAAATGACTATGGAGAAGGCCAAATTTGTTCAGCATTAGAAAATAAGAAATGCAGTTTTCTTACAATGGTTGGGATGATGATATGTAATAATATAGTACTCTGCAATTTTTACTCTTTAAGACTTCATAAGGGGAGTTGAAGAACATATCTTCATTTTTCTAGCCATCTTGAACCAATGCGACTCCTCCTAAATGGAAGCAACCTGGGTCTCACTCAATCCTGTCCTCAGCCACTGGAGGAAAATTCTTTCAAAACCCCTTCAGGGCCTCCCATTTATAAGACTTAAAACTTGTCATCACCACATGCTGCTATAACTCCGCCAGGTAGGCGGCATATGGGCTCCTGCAAATCTCATCTCTAACCATCTGTGTAGAACTCTCTCCAATGTGCGTTTTCTCCTGGATCTAAAAAAACAACTCAAGTTACAGCCCTGAGAGCCTTATGCCTCCTAGAAAATTCTGGTCACGTGGTTAGATTTAGAGTAGAGAATTCTGGAATCCAAGTAATCTTCTCCCAAGGTGAAAGTTCAGAATGTGAGGGACTGGTACTATATCCTCCAATACACATGAAAAATATCATGGATAGGTAGAATTGCCTTCAACAGATGCCAGGAGAACTTCTCAGGGACATGCCCTACCGAGTGCAGAGCAATAAGACTGGGGCTAACATCATCAGGAACTGTAAACAATTCAGTTTCTTCAAACTACCAGCTTCAGGGAAAAATCATCACAACCATGTTCCTTAAATCTGTCATCTTTGGCTACCTTTTCAAGTGCAAACCTCCTGGCTAGCTATCATATAATGTACTGATAAAACCCCTCCTACAACTGTTTAATTCCTTATTATTTTTTTTCCTTTTACTACTGACCTCCTTCCAGTGACTATTTTCTATGGACCTTTCTGAAATTATTAGTTCATTAAAACCAAACTCTCCTATCTCTCATTCCTCTTCCTGCCATCCATCTATGTCTTTTATTTTAAATCAAACACTGGCTGTAAATCAAGGACACTACGTTCTCTGAAGCCTTCTTAAGCATAGACTGATCATTGCCTCAAAACCTACAGCTTATGGGTTTTGTGTATGGTAAAGGCAATGTCTTAGCTTGATGATGTTTATCTATCCTGTTACTACTCAAGAATGCTCCAACCTTCACAGGTTCTGTGAATTTTGATTAATGTACATAATTTGCATTTGCTATTGTTGAGTTTTTTTGTGTGCTTGTTTTAAATAGAATATTTTGTGAGACTTTTGAGAGCAATCAGGCATTTGGGATTGGAGCAGGGTACAACTTTCAAACATTCATACCATTAATATTTGTTAAGTACTTGTTATACTTGAGATGATGTTGTAGGTATTGGGAATCTATTGGAAACAAAACAGAAAAATCTCTGCCCTCATGGAGCTTATATTCTGATCAACTTGCTGGGAAGTCAGCCTGACATCAGTGTCCCCTTCCTTCCTGCCTCATTCACAGAGACTTAGGAATGTCCAGGGCAATAAAAGGTTATGCTTTTGTGCACAGTTCTGAAGGACGATCAAGGGAACATTCTCTGCTTTTGGATGCTTTCATTAGTAGTATGAGACACCCCTGTGCCGTAGGATGGTTATATTGCTTTAATTTCATTCTCTTCAAGTTTGATGCCAAAAGTTTTACATTTCTAGAATGGTCCAAGAACATACAAAAAGTTGACAGCCACTGCTCCAGCTCTTTTTTTTTTTTGTACTTTGTATTAGTTTGTTTTCACATTGCTGATAAAGACATACTTGAGGAGACTGGGCAATTTACAAAAGAAATGTTTATTGGACTTACAGTTCCATGAGGCCTCACAATCATAGCGGAAGGTGAAAGGCAAGGAGGAGCAAGTCACATCTTGCATGGATGGCAGCAGCTAAAAGAGACCTTGTGCAGGGAACTCCCATTTTTAAAATCATCAGACCTTGTGAGACTCATTCATTATCATGACAACAGCACAGGAAAGACCCACCCTCATAATTCAATCACCTTCCACTGGGTTCTTCCCATGACAAGTGGGAATTGTAGGAATTATAATTCAAGATGAGATTTGGGTTGAGACACAGCCAAACCATATCATACTTCATCATTACATTTTCAAAAACCTATTCTTTCTTTGTGGTTGATAGCATAAATATACATCTCAGCTTGAAAGAGACATCCTAAGAGGCAGGTGAGAGCAATGCTTGGGAGTATGAACTTTGAAGTCAAACAGCTGTGCGATGTTCAGCAAGGGAGTTAACTTCTCTAGACCTCAGTTTACTTATCTTTAAAGGGAATGTAATACCACTTCCTTCCTCCAGGGTTGTAGTGAAGTTTGAACGAGTTAGTACATATTTCAGTGCTAAGAAATCTGTGCATCAGAGGCCCTCAATAAAGTGCTAAAAAGTCTCGATTTTTCCCCTCTTCCAGCTCTGCTTCTCCTCGGTCTTTATGAAAGGCAGCACAATGAACTCAGTTGCTCAGGCCAGAAACCTATGAGTCATGCTTGACTCAACACTTTGCTCAGACATGACTTCCAATCCTTCAGCAAGACTTGTTCCATCTCTGAGTACTTCTCCCATTACTACCACCGACTATTGTTTCCCATCTAGGATTTCTGCAATTGCTTTGTAGCTGCTCTTCCTGCTCTTATAATTCATTAGGCGTATAGAATTCAGAGCAATATTTTAAAAATATAAGTTAAAATTACATCATTCATTCTCTTCTTTAAAACATTACAATGCTGTCCAGTGACAATCAGAATAAAATCCCAAGTCTTTGTTACAGCTTCCTTTCTTCCATAATTCATCTTTAGAAATTCTTAAATCAAGGATCTATAGGTGGTAAATAGTCTTATTCTGCAGATCTACTCTTTAAATTTTTCATTCTCAAATTTCATTATGATGTATATTTATTTTCATCTATATTCCTTATGACTTACATTTCTCAAGTATGAGGAGTCCTTTTTAATTGGGTAAAAACTTCTGTCATTGCCTCAGAATAAGGATAATGTCAATATCTGCTATTTTCTCCTTCAAGAAGTACATTTATGTTTACACTGCACTTCAATTTGCACCCCTATGTTTTAACTTCTCCTTGAATTTTTCTATCTTTTTATTTCTCAGTGCTGCATTCTGAGAAATGTGCTCAGTAATATTTTCGTATATAATTTATCTCCTTGTGTCCAGTCTGTTGTTAATGTATGCATTGAATTTTCAAGTCGCTATGTTTGTTTTTTCCAAAAATTTGAGTTGATTATTTAAAACATCTGTGTGTTCTATGTAGGTAGTCTTAATCCTTTCTTGTGGTTTGATTACTTTTAGGACTTCATTTATGTTATACTAATTTTTATAGCATTTTCCTAGTAGTTATATTAAGTTGTTTGGAGTCTAATTCTACTGTGGGTGACGTCTACTGTTGTACTCTCAGATGTTTTGTAATTTCAGGTTGTGAGTGTATATTCAATGGAGTATTCATGAAGTGAAGCCATGTTTTTCCAAAAGGTAATTTGGTTGCTTCTGCTAGCTATACTAGGGTTTCAGCAGGGCCCTCGTGCAATTTTTATGTAAATGTTTAAGCTTAGGGATTTGGATACCATGCAGGTAATATAAAATCTATCTCCACAGTCATGAGAGATACAGTTCTATGATAACATTCTCAGGGAAATATTTTTGTTTCATTCAAGCCCGGTTTGAAATAGAGAATTCTTGTGGTCTCCTTGTGTTGATTTTTTTCCCCCAATTCACCATTTTATTAGGCATGTAGACTTTTGGGATTTAGTGCAAGGGGTCTTGATCATCATATTTTAACTTTTGCAAGCCTAAGGTTTTGTTGCTGTCCTTTTCTGAACATTAAAAGTCAAGCCTCTGGATTACCTTGTGCAAAATATCCTCCAAAAACAGCCACATTATCAATTCTAATTTGCTGTTTCTTCTCATTTTTGGTTCTTGGTGATTTTCTTTTTTTAAATTTTAATCTTTTCAGCCATGGATTTTTGTTCATTTGATTCTTTGCTTGCAAAGGTCTTTCCAACGTTTACAGGTATTTGGTAATGGAAGTGATTGTATGGCATGTCGTATTTCAAAAGTTTGAATTCGATTGTTTACAGATGTTCTTTCTCCCACTTACCATATCTACTCCACTCATTTTAAATTAGCATTTCACTCATTTTATACCCCATCTGATATTAGAAGTTAGTCAAATTTTTGTCAAGCCCTACATATTTCTCCATCTGTGCTATTCTACATATCAAAAAATTATTCTCTTGCTTTTCTTTTTTTCTTTTTATCATATTATTTATAAAATCAGAAGTAAAAGATAAATACAAGATGATTTGTACCTTATTCAGAAAAGGCTAATGTTTTCACTTTTACTTGCTGTTATTTGTGACTTTCATTGAATCAATAATTAATCCAAATTTTATCATTTCAAATGGTATATGAACTGAAGTCTTTTTTATTTTTTAATGTTTCATTATGGGAAATTCTACACGTATACACAAGTAAAGCTGGAGTCTTCATGGCTATTCTTATGTTTGTCTTGAAGTCAAAATAAAATAAACTTAAGGTTGAGATTTCATAAGTTTATAATCTAAACTGTTTCACATGTTCTAGTTCATAAATCTTTACCTTAGATTTAAAAAAGAACAGGAAGACTAATCTGTTTACAGTGAAATTTCTTGAGGACAAGAATTTATCTTTCATTAGAGCAACTAATGAGATTCTGACATCATACCGGCTCTCGAAGATAATTTTACACTTAAACTAGCTTGTTTGGTATTAAATGCTGGTCTTATTGAGCTCAAGCTATGTCAGGATCCAGAGCTATAGACTATCTTTCTCATGTTAGGTTTTAGGCTTGATTTGGGACTCTCTCCCACTACCCTCACGCTCGATTTTCCCTTTACTTATAACATTGTATGATATTATTTTTCAAGCTTACATATTTTGGAGAATTTCTGTTCAGTCTTCCCACAAAAGAAGCTAAAAACTGTTGTTTTCAATGCTCAAATCTATATTAAGCACTTATTACAATAAAGAGATATATTTTCAATTCCCGTTCACATACGTGATTATGTTTGCTTCTGACAACCGTATGTGAAGTTAACAGACCAGGAATTCTCCCATTTCACTGGATGAGAAAACTGATGCTCATGGGGATCAGGTAACTTGGGAAAGTTCTCAGGGTTTTTAAAGGCACATCTGATAATTAGACCTAGACATTCTGACTCTAGTTCCAATGTTCCTCTCATTTATTTTTCTCAATGCTGTTTTCTTTTGTATAAGCCACTGAGGCTTATGCACTGTGAGCAAGATAAATAAGAGACTCCTTTTGTTAAAAGGAGTTCACTATCTAATTGTGAGATATAGATTGGACTGATTAAGATTTAAATAACTATGTGTCAAGTAATACAGGACACGATGAGTATTAAATCTGCAATACACAGTGAGTGCTTGCTTATGCAAATAAGTGAAATCAAGAGATAATCAGAAAATGTCTCATAACAGAGGTGGGAATGGGGCTGAGCATTGCAGACGAGTTTGGGGTGCTCAAGAAGGACAGGGGGTTGAATAATAGGGAAGTTGGGAGAGACTAATGTGCAGAACCTGGAGGTACAGGAATACTTAGGTAAAAATGAACCTCTGTGATTACAGTAGAAAGATTGATGGCAAATAATACCTAATTGTATGCCATCAGTTCTGCTTCCATGTTTGCACACAGTTCCTGGAGAACTAACTGATATTACCTGAATGGTAATTGTGTACATGGATATCTTATCCTGAACAATCTATCTAATAATTGAACCCACAAATTTGAAATAACAGAAATAAATGTGAGGCTATGATCAGGTGTAAAAAAGCTCCTTGTTTACTTAGAAAGAGTACAGAAACGGTTACATTTTCATAGTACCTATTATCTGTAAGAGTGTTGATTTCTTTATGCACTGAGAAAACCAGTGGCATTTGGTATTCGCTAAGAAGAAAAGGGGCCTTTTACAATTCCAAATCTGCACACTAGATTATCATGTTAGACAGCTCTCAGGGATCCTGTGCATAATCAGCAGGTGATCACTTCCATTTTCGAGGCACCAAAGTCAGAAGAAATACACTTTTGCAAATACATTTGGAGTCATAATTAAACTCCTGTTGCCACAATAGGCTGTGCCTATTTCATATCACATACATGTGATTAATTCAAAGAAATGAAAAATGTCAACATACAAGTCAAAACTCACACTTACAGCTTTTTGCTATTCTGAGATGACATCTGAAAATGAGCAGTTTGGAGTAAGAATTTTTCCATTAACATTGCTGATCAGCATGTGCTATCAATTCTCCATTGATGTCAATTATTAGCAGTTGCTATGAGTTTTCCATTAATTTTAATGATTGACAGTGGCTAAAAATTTGCGTGCTTTCTATGACTGCTATTTGCTGCAAACTCTCCTCCTAATACTTTGGTCATTCTTTGCTATGATTTTGCCTTCGGCTCTCTATTTGCCATTATTGTATTCTGAATTTTAATGGTTGGCTAGAACTAATTTTTTGCCAAAAAAAAAATGCTAAACAGTATTCAACATTTTCTATGAAGTCTTCACTTTTTTTAACTTATAAATGTATTTAAATTTAAGTTAAATCAATTAGAACATATAAAACAAAGGATTTCTAAACACTGGACACATGTGTAATGGAAGACATCTAATAAACCACAAGGTTTCAGTCCTATAGCATTTTTGGTGAGCGGAATTCCAGCCCTAGATTAATTTAAAAATGTTTATTTATTAGGCATTGGCTACAGGGCAATAGTTCATGATCAATAGGTTGTGGGAAAGAATGTTATATATTTTTCTTTTTTTTTAAATTTTTGGGGTTCATTTGCCAGGAGTAGGCTATTGAATTGGGGTGGGAGTGAAAGATAAAAAATCTTTTCTGGGACTGGTTAGATTTTCTTTTAATTTATTTTATTGTATATATTTATGGTGTACAATGTGTTTTGATATGCTTCTACCAGAATACAAGGAACTCTAGGAAAAGGTAATTTAAGATTATACCCATCATTCTTAATTTCTAACTGCCATCATTTCTGCCCCAAATAGTCTTCTCTACCACCATAGAGTACATCTCTATTTCTGTCCTTAGCATGCACACCCCAGCCACCCCACAGACTCTTCTGTATCCTCTTTACTGCAAGTCCAGTTCTGAATAGGCTTTGGGTTCTTCTCTTCTCCATGGTGAAACAAGATATTTTGTTTTTGTTTTTTTGTTTTGGTGGTGGTATGTTATCTGACAGTTGTAGAAGGTGTCAACTGGCTGATTTTCTGGGAGGCAAAATAGGGAAAGTTATTTTTTTTCCTTTTGGTCTCTGAGAGGTATTTCTGGCACTGAGTTTATTTTCACATGTTTGTGGAAGAAATAACCTCTTTCTTCTGCCCATCTGACTTTGGTTCTTGGAGAGAAGGAGTAGGGTGTTAGGACTGAGGGGCTTGGAGATGTGTCGTTAAAAATACTGAATCTTGGTTTAAATATTATAAACTTCTGAAATCTGAACTGGGGTAAGAAGAGGCTCAGGATTGTGGTTAATTGTAATTTTTGTTTAAAAATAACATTATTACTTGAAAAATATTATTTGCAAAACAGAAAATATTTTGGCTATGTTACTGTCATTTACATCTGTAAACACATTTATATACTTTTAAGCAGTTCTATTCTGATGCCTTAACAATCTTTTTTCCCCCTCAATCTGGGTCTCATCAACTTTTCTTTTACTGATTGGGAACCTTAGTTTTAAAGTTTATGCTGAGCTTAGAGTTACCTTGCAAATGACATTTCCCTAAACTGCAGCTGAATTTAATAGATTTTAAAAATTATGCCAGTGTTGTATGTAGTTTTATCACTTAAGAATGCATTTTATTATAAAAGCATTCTAAGTAAAACTTTATAAACTTTGAACTCCATCTTGCACTCCGTCTTACTCTACTTTTTAATAGTATGCTTACCAATCAGTCTTCTTCCTCATAAACCAGCTCTATCAGAGACAATCCAGAAAGACACTCATAGTTATGAAATAATGGCACCTTTGTCAGAGAACTTGAGTTTCCACCTCTTTAATGCACATTTCATAAGCATTTTGGGAGCACTAAGTTGTTAGTTTTATGTTTTCTGCTTTAAAAGAACCAGGAGGTGAAGAAGATTACCTTTGGCAGCTCTGCTCCATGCCATCACTTTGTTGTCATTCTTGGAATGTCTCAGAAGGTTTTATTAGGTAAAGGCCTCTATAAATTCCAGGTGTTGACCATATGTTCATCATTGCATCCACAAACAGAAAAACGGTTTTATTTTCAAATCTGACTTCCTTGTATAAGTGCAACAAATCCTGCAGACTTGTTAGTACATAACTGTGAAAATCTTTACATAGTGTGAACTTTCTTTGCAAGTTAAGTTAAAAGCCAAAGAAAAATAGAACAGCCCACTCACATTCTCCCACTGTTCTACTATGCCAAAGAAAAGTTTTTGTGAAATTTACAAGGAACTATGCTGTTTATTTCCCTCGTCCATGTGAAGGCAGTGGAATTGGGGAGAAGTAGAATTCTTGCTTCATTAGTTTTGTCATCATATAGGAATGGATTTGGTTCTCTTTTTGGCTACTATTAACTAGTTAAGTTTCAGGAGCTGCCATCTTATAACTCCAGCGTGCTCTGTAACTTGTCAGACAACCTAACACATGAGATGCCAAACCTTGGATGACAGTGGAGAGTAAGATAATGAGATGACCCAGTGTCCTAATCTCATCCCAACTGTGCTTTTCATTCACCTCCCTCTTTGGATATTTTGAGAAAAGAAGGAAACAAAAAAGAGGCCAAAAATGAGAGGGGTCCACAAAGATGTCGGAAGCACTGAAACATCTTAGTGGAACATGAGCCTCCAAAGCTCCTCTAGTCATTTTTAGCCATAGTTTACAGCTTCTGGGCACTTCTGCTCAGTTTTGTGCTCAAAGGAATCAACCCAGAATAGTTTAGTAATCTTTAAGTGAAGGCAAGGTTGCTTGTAGAAACGGAGAACATTATTTTTATGTTCATCAATGTTCGTTTAAATTGAGTTATTTATGTAACTATTTAAAATTGTAGAAATAGTTGTGAACATTGGCACAGTAGAGACAAATTAGCAGACAATGAATAACCAGAACATTCCACTACTTTGAATAGTTTTCTTCTTCAATTTTGAAAATTTGCTTATTTGGATTAAAGCTTTTAGTTTTCATTATAAGGCAGGAAAGCCTATATGTATATTGGGTATATCTTAAACTTCAAATATTTTATATTTATATAATGTGCTACTAAGCAAATCATACACTCGTATTGGAGGCACAGGCTTTATTTAAACTGAAAACCAGTTGTGCTTTAAAATAAAATTATGAAGTGAATTCTGACAACTGTGTTTATTAATGGTTCTTTCTTGATGCATACATTAATTTCTGTCTTTTACCTATAAAATATGCACAGTCAAATCTTGATTATATGAACTAATGGAGAAAATTTGTGAGTAATATGACAAATTATTTGAAGTGATGGAAAATTCTGAAATGGCTCATATTCAACTTGGATGACAACATATTAGTAAAAGTAATATTATCTCTATTTTTGATCTGAAAAATCTGTGGTATTACTGATGAAATAGCAAAACTACTTTGTAAAAATATAAAGATCTGCCTTCACCATTTTACCTCTCATTTCGCCACTCAGATCCAGGAAGAAAGAGTGTTACCCCTTGAGTTAACACAAATATGAAACTCTTCTCTCTTGCAAGAAAGCTGTTTCATATCTTTCTTAAAGTTAAGAAAGTTCTTTTTACTCAATTCTTCTCCTTTAATGCCTAACAGATTTGAGCCAAATAAGATAGGGTTCATGCCAACTAAGTATTAAATAATTAATTAAAGAGAATTGGCTATATGGGTGATTTTTAAGCACATGTTAACTTTTTAAACATAAATTTGTATATTATTTATTTAGGATTTTGAGTATACAAGTGAAATTTTGTTACATGGATATATTCATAATGGTGAAGTCTGGGATTTTAGTGTGTCCATCACCAGAATAGTGAACATTGAACCCAATAGGAAATTTTTCAACTCTCACTCCCCTCCCACTTTCCCCACTTTTCGAGTCTCCAATAAACATGAATTTTTACAGTCATGCTATATTATTTCCTTTCAAAAATTTTCTAGTGATAAATCCTATAGTTTTATTCCTGGATCGTTATTTTCCCTACCTAGGACATATTTTAAAAGAAAATTCTCTCTACTTTTGTAGGTAAAGTCAAGTTAGACGTTTTTTAAAAGTTCTTCATGCCACTTGTGTTTTTAAACTTTTGCAGCAGACTTGGATCTCCTTGTGCATTTAGAAAACTAAGCTCACAGCCAGTAATAACAAACTTAAATCTCTGAGACCGTTTTTTCTCCTCCAGACCATGTGATCTATTCTTTCTCTACTTTCCCTAGGGTTTATTGGTAAGAGCCTGGAGTTTAACATGTGTTCCGTCTGAGGTGTGCAATGTAGGTCCATTTTGTTTCTTCATTCAGCTAAGCATACTGAAGGCAGGCACGGGGTGTTACAGCTCTACTGTATATCTGAATGCACTCAGCACTGAATGCACTCAATTCATCCTGAATTGATTAATTCAGGAATGAAGCAATATAAGTCACTCATAAATAATCTTGATTAATAGGAATTTTAAAAGAAAAAACTCACTTGGCCATTTAGAAATGTGTTTTGCTAGAAAAATGTAATTCTCTTTTGTAAAAGAATGCTGTTTCATTATTGCTTGTTTCATAACGCTTTTTCTCCCTTTTTTTGTTTTTATTACCATTAGAAAAAAAAATATGGCATTCTGCCTGTACTACAACTTTTGTCCAGTCTTAAATTTGTGGGAATTATAGCAGATTTCCTTCAACTCACTTTCAATAATCATAACTACATTCTTGTTAATGACATGCACTCTAAGTAACTCAGTGCTGAACAGAGTCTACTTTAATTGGGAAGGAAAGGATTTCCATTGGTATTCCTTGGACCCAGAGCTAGAATTGACATTTCATTATACCTAGTGACATGGCCTCTCTTCTGTAGGAGAAATAAAAGGTATTACCTACAAATAGGCAACAGGCACCTGACCTGTTGGATCAGGTTATGTTGGGTTACATGATGTGACATGCCCTGCAGTGACCTGAGGCAATGTCATTCTGTGTTACCCTGGTGGAGCTGTGCTGCTCTTTATTAAACAATCTGGGGATGGCTTATCGGCAGAGGTCACAAAACATTTTCATGCCACCTTTGCATAGAAGTGGAGAATCAGCCACATTCTGAATTATTCCTCCTAGGGGTCACTTAAGGAAATCAAAGAGCACAAGAACCACAAGAATCACAAGAGTTTCCATTGTTTTAGAATTAGAATTCAAATTCTCAGGTACACAACAGAGACATGCATTTTATGAGACAAGGATGATGCATAGACGGGGAACAAACTGTACTCTGAAATGAAAATGTTCCATCAAAAACACTTCCAGTGTTCTTAAAATAATCACTTAAGCTTTCAAATGGGTTTACTTACTTTTTATATAAAGTCGGTTTGTAATTACTCTTTCTAATAAATCAAAGTTATCGTTTTGAATTATAATGTGTAAATTAGAGGCCCCAACTAAAAGATGTGATAAAAGTATGTCTTTAGTCTTACCCTTGAGATGATTTTTATCAAGACAGTGGCTCTCAAGAAGAAACTATCTAAAATTACTACATTATGTGATATTATGTGTGGAAGGAATCCATTGTGTTTGGTCATTTTTTTCTAATGATTTTAATAGTATTTTCCTATTGATACATCTTGCATATAAATTCAGTTTTAATGATCTGCATAAAGAACTGTACAATATTACATAGGTACATCTATCTAGTGATTTTAAAGTAATTACTGGTGCATGGAACAGAATATAACCTTTTGGTTATATTCTGCAGTAAAAGGAATAGGTTAGAAAGGTTTTTATGCAAATTAGAAATGCTCTGTGTCGGAAGCCTAATTGTACTTTTTATTGTTAGACAAGTCAATACTGCTTTAATACACATTTTATAAGCTTCTTGCTGAAATTGTATATGAAAGGGATTGGTTTCCATAGATGAAAGGCATAATCTTAACAATGAGGCCACATAAGCAGAGTGGTTGAAGTACTGATAAAGGATTTGTTAGCTCCAACATAGAATAAGTCTTATTAGCCTTATTAGTTACTACTGTTTGACCCACTACTATTAACTGTGTGAGTCACATGCATTGCAAACTAGGAAGGAACAGCACTGTATTTGGCCATTTAGAGTAAATGTAATCAAATATGAAGAGCGTTTCAATTGCAAAGAATTAAGAACCATACCTTGTCCTTTGGTCTCCTCCTCATTCAAAGGGAGTTACTTGAATATTGGGGATTTTAATTTTCAAAAACTTTTGCTGTTTATACAGAGTTCAAATATATCAAATATTATGTTCAACTTTTCTTTGTATATCAACATAACTTCTATGTAAAAGGAAATGCAAAAGTAATTAGTCATTGGTTATAACATCATGAAAATTTAAGAGATTAAAAGAATATGAAACAGGAATTCTAATAAATCTGAATCATAAACACTTATCATTTGTGTCATTTTTATTTACAACTGATTATATTTTTCACCTAATTTAATAATGGAATAGATTAAGAATGGTTTGTATATAATATTTGCTAAGAAATTTCTAGAAATCATAAAATCATTAAAGAGAGAAGAAAAAATGTCCCAGTTTCAAATTTGAATAATAGGGTTATAGCAGTGTTAGGCTCAATATTGTAGCTATTCTGAGAATCCTACTTATTTTCACAACCTGATTTATCCACCCCCCTTCCGATTTTTTGAACCATATGTATTTATAATAAATTTATTAGATCCTTAAGTTAATGGTTTCTTTTGTTTTCACGAGTATATACTTATCCCCAAATTCATTGAGTTGTATACATTATGTGTAGCATTTTATGAGTCAGTCATAAAATACTTAGATGAAATACATAGATGAAATACTTTCATCTATGAAAACCAATCCATTTCATATATAGTTTCAGCAAGAAACTTATAAAATGTATATTAAAGCAGTATTGACTTGTCTAACAATAAAAAGTACAATTAGGCTTCCAACATGTAGCCGAATTTAAAAAGTGGGCCTTTTTTTAAAGTTCTGTTGTTTTCAATTAAGAATTCTGAATAAACCCTATGTTTTTTAGTTTGCGTTGAAAACAAATAT
Organism: Homo sapiens; assembly: GCF_000001405.40. NCBI lineage: Eukaryota > Metazoa > Chordata > Mammalia > Primates > Hominidae > Homo > Homo sapiens. Next base: position 115,351,955 of record NC_000007.14, read on the forward strand.
TTTTTATCAGAGTTATATATCGTTAGCATAAAATTACAGCTTAATTAAAGGTTTAAATCTAATCAAGCAAACAAAAATCATAAACCAGCATAGAAGGTACTAAAATATGTATATATGTGATCATGTAATTATGAAAGACTATGTTCATTCATTAGCTCATTCATGAAATACTAATACTTAACAATAGTTTAAGAAATGTTCTGAAGCACTGGTAGTAGAAGTGAGGTGGTGAGAAGTTTTGAATTCTAGCTATATTTTGAAAATAGAGCAAATAGAACTTGGTGATGGATTTGAGGGGGATATCAGAGTATGTAAGGGGTCAATAATTTGTTTTGGCAACTAAAAATTCACTTGTATAGTTGACATATGGAAGACTAAATGGAGAACAGAATTCTGGGGGATGGAGAATATGAGCTAGGTTTTGAATTTGCTTTGAGATGCCAATTAGACATCTGAATGGCAATGTTGGACAGAAAGTTCAATGTTTAGCAGCCTGTAGGGGCAAGCAAGAGCCTGTGGTAGGCAGAAGAATTCCTGCCGAAAGATGTCTGTATTCTAGTCCCTGGAACCTGTGAATATGCCTGTTTACATGGCAAAGATAAATTGAGGTTGAAGATGGAAGTAAGATTGGTCATCATCTGATCATAAAATAAAAAGTTTTTCTGGATTATCTGAGTCAGCCCAATGTAATCACAAAATTCCTGTATGTGGAAACAGGAGGCAGAAGAGTCATTGTCAGAGTGATGCAATGTAATAAAGACTCCAGTGGCCGTTGCTGGTTTTAAAGATGAAAGGGGCTCATGGGAAGACAGTGGGAGGCCTCTAAAAGCTGGAAAAGGAAAATTCTACCCTATAGCCTCAGGAAGGGAAAGTAACCCTCTAGTCACCTTGATTTTAGCCCAGTGAGATCCCATTCAGACTTCTGTCCTCCAGATCTGTAAGATAATTTGCATTTTGAAGACATTATATTTGTATTAACTAATCACAGATGCCATGGTAAACAAATACTGTGTAAACCAGCCGTTTATTTTTTAGGAATTTTACAAGCTAGTTGCCAACAGACTCTTCATTAAAAATTAAATTATGTAAACTTACACTTGATTAAATTATATTCAAAGATAAGGTAATAGATAATCAAAACTCATTACTTCCTAACTTTTAACTAGATTTTTAAAATACTCATGTCCTAGAAGTTATTTACTTCTATTGTATCTATATGGTAGAAGCATTATACAATGGTGTGCTAGTGTATATGTTTTCCCAGCTCCACATTCAGTGGTGTCATGTTGGTAACTTGAAATTAGCCATGCTGCGAATATTTAGACCATGGAAAGTAACGAATGCTACAAATCAGAACTTTTTATGATTTTTTTAGTTTAGAAAGTGGCAGAGAAAATGTTAATAGGGCAGATTAACCTTAAACATGCATCCTGTTTGTGGCTGCTGCATTGTGACTACCACCAAAACAAACAAACAAACAAGAAGATATTCTTGCAGTATTTGAAAAGTATTTTTGATTCAGCAAAGAAATTCCACACAGCATTGACGAAGGAGTAAAATTCTGGGCTGGGCATGGTGGCTCACGCCTGTAATCTCAGTACTTTGGGAGGCCGAGGCAGGTGGATCATGAGGTCAGGAGATCGAGACCATCCTGGCCAACATGGTGAAACCCCGTGTCTACTAAAAATACAAAAAATTAGCTGGGTGTGGTGGCACATGCCTGTAATCCCAGCTACTCAGGAGGTTGAGGCAGGACAATTGTTTGAACCAGGGAGTCAGAGGTTGCAGTGAGCTGAGATCACGCCACTACACTCCAGCCTGGCAACAGAGCGAGACTCCATCTAAAAAAAAAAAAAAAAAAAAAAAAAAAATTCTGACATAAGTTTTTGTTGTTGCACTCTGTCTTACTTGCTAATATAAATAAAAATACCAACAAATATTCATGTTGCAGCTACACTCGTTTATCAGTTGCAGTCATAATTTTACCATGGATACAAAAGTTTAGCAAAAATAAAGAGAAATATTTTATGAGAATAAACTGGTTATATAAAATTAGAAATTATAATATTGTCTATTTCATTATTGTCTATTTCATTATTGTTTGTAACTTATGTGCTACACACATTTTATATCAGTAAAATTTATAATAAACTTATGTATATTTATACATGTGTTCTTTTTTTCTAAAAGTTGGTTGTTAAACCAGGGCACTCCTGGATATATGAGACTGAAATTCAGAAAAGAGTTGGAGCTAAAGATAAAAATACGGGTGTCTTCAGCCTATAGAATATTTACTGTCATAAATTTACATGAAATTTAAAATGAAATCAGTAGAGAGTGAGGATGTGTAATGTGTGGTGTAGAAGAATTAAAGAATGGTGTCCTAGAGGTCAAGTTTAAAAAAAGTGTAAATATAAATATAATAAAAAACACAAAATCCATCAACATATTTTATTTCATGTGAAAAAAATCAGAAACACTTGAATCAAAACATCAAAACTAAGAACCAAAATATTTCATGTTAGAATAAAGTGCATTTGCAACATGCATTTCAGAGAATGGGTATAGATGTGACTATTAAATATCTTTTAAAAAAGAGTCCCCGCCACAAAAAGAAAAATGGAAAAGTAATGTTGCTAGATAACTTATGAAAGAAGAAATGTAAAAGGCTGGAAATATGTATAAACTAATTGTTGATCATAAAAAGCTAAAAAGTATTGTGTAACTGCTCTGTATATCAATTTGGAATTGTATCAAAATCGTAAAAACATGCATAACAGTTTATCCATTAATTTCAGTCTAGAAATGCATCTAAGGAAATGATTAATAACATATTGTACATATTTATTGCACAGGTATTTATAAAGCAAAAATAATGGACAGAGTTATTTATCAACTCTGAATATGAAAACACTGAAAGAGTTATACAGTTACCTTATAGGATACTAGTACAAAATTAGAAATCAATAGTTTAATATGACCCTGAATTTATGCATGCATGCATGCATACCCACAGGCCCATACACACATATACAAACATGGATTGCATACCTACTTTTAAATTACATTGTGTAATATTTGAGAAAAATATAGTGAAGGACAAATCAATAAATATTACCTATAACTCCGACATCATGATGTAATAAATATTTGACATTAAAAATACAAATATGCATTTCTTAAGATAAAAATTGGAATGTCCCTATAAGTAAAACAGTAACAGATAATATTAAAATGAAATATTAAAAGGATGATGTAACAAGAAAAAATATTTTAAAAATTAGAGATTCAGTCTCCAAATTTTCTTAACATCTGCCTAATTAAAGTTTCAGAAAGAGGGAATGAGAAAAAAGGGGGAAAGATAGTATCTGTTAAATCATTTTAAAGACAAATTCTGGACACAAAGAATGTAAATTTCAAATCAAAAGTATCCAATAACTTTGAACACAATGAATGCAATAAGACCTATAGCAGGGGGCATCATTATGAAATCTCAGAATGCTAGGTTTAAAGAGAGACAGCTAAGAGTATCCAGTGTGGAAGAAAACAAAGCTAAATGAGTGAAATAAGCAGTTCACATTCAAAAGGACAGGTATCAAAATGGCGTTAGATTTATCAACAGTGACACTGGATGAGAGGAGAAAACACAACCATAGCAACAACAGCAAAGCCTTCTTCCTGAGGGTACAGATTGGAATAGGAGGACCAACTCTTCGTGAGGCTATTTCAAGCAACATAAAAAGGAACTTACAGATTACCCAAGAATGAATTGAGAGATTTATAGGTTTGGGAGAAAGTTAGGGTTGCCAAATTTATGATAGATACACAGAAAACTAAACAAACAAAATTAAAACTGAAGAGACAACAAGATAATCGCTAGTTTTTGAGATAAGAAAAGATTGCCTAGAAAAGAAAATATGATCATAATTTACTACCCAGCCAAACTTTAACAAAATTTACCAAGTCATAACCTAGTATTGACCCTGATTGTTTAATTAACCAAAAATTGTGGTATTTAATTAACCAAAAATTTTGAGAACCAAATTAACCAAAAATTGTGAGAACAAAGACAATATGTCTGTGAGAGGATTGTTGCAAAAAAAAAATTCCCCTTCTAAAAGAAGAAAAATTCTAAAATAGAAAAAATTTTAAAAATAGCAAGTTAAATACATTATTTAGGAATATGAAGGTAACTGCAAAAGGAATAACTAAAAGATTGAAAGTGATTGCCATGGGAAATGGCACTTCTGTATTTCATTACAGATATTAGGAGAATATGATTTTTTAAATCCTCTATAACTATTATTTTGATAAATATCAAAATTAAATTTAAAAAGAGTAAAAAATATATATATGTGCTAAATATTAGAGCCTGCAGCCACTAGAGGGCAAATACTTCCTGGAGATCAATGGAGATTCAGAAGGGAAACGTGGTCTCCTAAGTAGGGACTGGGCTAGACCTAGTCAAAATTATCCAGTCGACACTTATCTAAAATAGCACAGTGTAGCATGAAGAGGGTTAAAAGTTTTTAAAAAAAGTTTTAATATTCTCATACAAAATAACATAAACAAAATAACATAACTAAGATGGTAGAAAATCCATTTATAAAAACACTGTCTTCTTCCTTATAGATACAAAATTAAATTATCTTACAAAATATTTTAGGATGGATATTTGCTTTTACCTAAAAGTGATTGTACATTCCAATATAATGAACAATAAGGTCATTTAATCAGATTGTTGTAGAGGAGACATTGATTCAAAGGAGAGAAAGATCTTCCCTGGACATGAGCTTTACTAGTCACATGAGGAAATAAGGTAGCCCCAGAGAGAGTCTAGAAGAGTTGAGAGAAACAGCAAGGAAGAATCAAAGGAGGACATTGAGATGATGTTTGCAAATATGTTCAGGAGAAGCAGAAGCAAGTTGGTAAAGATTAATTCACCAATTCACAAACCAGTTCTTAAGAAGCATTAGACTAAATGCAATCTCAAAGTTCCTGTTAGTGCTGAAATTTAATGATTTTCAGAGGTAAGACCTGTTTTTTGTATGATGTTAACATGAATTATTTGATGCTAGAGGGCAAGACCTATGTCTAATTTACTTTGTACAGTGCATGAAAGAGTGTGACAAATAGGTAAATGCCCATGTGATTTATTATTCAAACCAGGACATTTTGAGAGAGAGAAAGGAGATGCTATTAATAATTGTAGGCCTAGATCATGACTGGTCAAGAGCAAAAAAAGTAAGATCACCCAGCACGGATATGACTTATTCTATGTAACAATACCTCAGCGACTGGATAGTCAGCATGAAATAAGCAGCTGTGTTGATTTTTAAAGCGTACCTAATTGATGAACATCTGGTGGCAGGTAGCCAGCCCATTAAAAATCAATTATACTCAATGACTTGCATCTGAGCCATACTGCACCAATCTCCTCACACTCATCAGATCCACATGTTCCTGAATAAACACTTGGACCACTCAGGCCAGTGCCTTTGAACTTTATGTGGTTGGAAGTGAATTTCGTCAGTGGCTTTTGTCTAACCCACAGTGAAGAGAAGAGTTCTGTTGATCCGCCCCTGACTGTTGACAGGTCAAGAGACCAGGCGGCAGTTTGAGTAAATCTCTATAAATCCAAGGGTAACCAGAACATTCACTGCTCTGTGCAGCTCTCAGATATAATATATGCCATTAACGGCAGAAACTGGGTTATAAAACAATAAGGAGGTGATAGTGATCAGAGACTGGATTTAGGATGTTATAAGGCAAGTAGAAGTTAGTAATTAAAGTGAGAGTGAAACTTTAGAATAGGGTGTGGAAAAGTCTATACAAACTCTCAGTTCAAACGCTGAATATATGTTTCTATGTTGGGGGTTTCCATTTGCAGCATAATTACCAAAGAACAATTAGTGAACCAGCCAGCCTCCTTTTATGAGAAACATAATTCAAATTGTTATTATGCTAGAGGTGAGTGGGTTGGGGGAAGACAGTTGACCTGGTGCCTAGAATACCACTCTGAAGAGAGCCAAAATCTCCTAATTAATGTCATCCTTGGATCATAAGTGTGAACAAGATCAGGATGTCTGGTGTAAGTCCTGGATCCTTGGCAGGCTACAAGAGCTATCACGTCAAGTTCATTTAAATAGAAGATAAAGATCATTCAAAAGAAATACTTTACATTAAAGATCATCATAGAACTACATCTAAATCCTAAAAGTTATTCAATTAAATCAGCTTTGGAAATACAGGAGTACGGTTGTGATTGGGTCAGGGGGCTTCCCATTATCTTTTACCTGCCAAGTATCTAACAGGCTATGCACAAAGAAGGCTTTTCTCTTCTTTCCTAAGTAAGATTTAGAAGGAATGTGAACAATAATTTATGTAGCATTGTGAAATTCATAGATATAAAAATTAGATGTTCTATGTGTAGTTTGTTTAACCCAATTTTCCTATAGATAAGTGTATAGTTTAAAACATAAAATACAGAAAATAAATGGGTTAATTATCTTGATGTTATACTTCAAAAACTCCCGCCACCCCATTTTAAACTTTCTTAAAGATTGTTTATTTGTAAAAAGAATTTAATACTTAGATTTGGAAAGAAACTTAGAAATCATTTAGTTCAATTCCCTTCTTTATAGATGAAGTAATTGAGGCTTTGAAGGGTGACCCAACGTCAGACTTAGGTCATGTACCTTGTAAATGAAGACTGGACATTCAAAGACAGAGCTCCTGGCTCCAAGTCCACTGCTGTATTTTTTCAACTGTTTTTAAAATGTAAGGCTTATATTTCATATTGACATGTTTATGAAAAGCTAAGCCTGATTAGGGCATAATATTACTTATACTCATATTGAATCTTTGGAACTAAAATATAAGCAAACTAGCACTTGTTAAGCTAACTAACTATTCTTCTTTCTAATGGGCTTAATAATCCATCATTTGACCTTTGTAATGAATTGTAATGCTCACTTATACATATATAACACACATAAACGGACTATGGCTATGTGCATACTGTAGTATATATGTGTGTATCTACTGTATATATATTTAAAATTTACATTGTAAAATACTATAATTTTATATTAGAGTTTATCTAGAAAATTGAGGTCAGAATTCTTCAGTTGATATTCAACACAGTTTGGCATATATAGGATAATAATGTAAGCTGCTATTAATAAAATTCATAATTTGCATCGATGTTAAATAGCTAGATGTTTCTTTACAGCATCCAGTAGCTTCATTTTAAGCCTGTTTTTAAAACTACCTGCTCACTGATTGGAAGTCACAGTTTCAATTTCACTTCAGCCTTAAAAAATAATCATTCAAGCACTTTATTGTGTAGTGTGACTTTTTCTGACAACATCTGTTGCTCTGAAACAGAGAAGTACCCAGAGTGACAAAGGGGGTGTTTTCTACTGTTTTACCCATGCTGAAAAGATGGGCCAGAGAGCTGTACAGCCCATAACAATGTAAAAATCTTTATATGAAGTTGTTCACCAGAGACTTGTCAATAGGCTGAGCCATATTGGATCTGGCAGTCTTTCTACTGGGACAGTATTTGCCTTGAAGTACTATCTTTTCTCTTTTTCAATGTCAGCCTGAAGGCTCTTAGACAACATATGTTCATTTCATGTCTTAGAGATATTGCTTCTGGTATTGCAAATGCATTATCACATTGAGTTTTTCTGTAAAACAGATGGTACATATTAAGGTCTCTGTTTCTTACAGTTTCTGTAACAATGGCACTGCATTCTTCACGTTGACAAAAGTATCATCAACATCATGCAGTGCAGACCTAGACTATGTCAGGATGGTAAATGAATGCTTCAAACAGAAAGATCAATGATAAAGGTGAAGCAAACTCCTTAGAGAGCTCCAAACTAAAACAGGTCATTTCTTTAAACTGTTCTCTGAAAACTTTAGATAGGAAATACTTGATTCTTCTACTCTTTAGAGGCCCTCTGTCAAATGGCTTTTCGAATAAAACAATAACACATATGCAGAACAGTCAACTTTCAGAAATGAGATTTTGAAGTAGACTCCTTTGACTTCTCAGTATAAATTGGTGTAAGTGATATCTTAATAACTAAACCATTGTATGACTCTTATGATTCATATACCATTGTATGACTGTTAGGAAGGCCATTTAGTGCTAATTGTGGAATCATTCTAAAAACCAGACTGTCATCAGGGTTGAATTAGATTTGGATATACCTAAATAAGCTTATGACATATGCTGTGATTCACAGAATATGTGTTTGAAATATTCTATAATGTTCACTAAAGGGAAGAACTGCTGAAAGACATTTTTGGATTCAGCAAATCTGTGAATTTGGAAATTTATACCTCTACACCCACATGCTTTTGTAGACAAAAATGAATTCTAATCTCTGTCTCTTAGTTGAATAACAATATTTAGAACTCTCCTGATTTTTTATGAATAGAAAGACCCTAAAATAATTACATTTCTTTCTACAATGTTCTCATTTTTTGTTGATTTTGTTTTGTGTACTGCTTTCTCTAGATAAGTTTTTTTTTAGTAGAAGAATAGAACCACATACAACTAATGAACAATGATCTTCTCAATAATTCAATAGATATTTAATATTTATTAAATCCATATTTGTGACAGGCACTTTTTAAAATACTAGGGACACAACTGAGAGAGAGCGAAAGAACGAGAGAGAGAATGAGAGAGAGAGATCTCCTATCAATATGGAGCTTACATTGTAGTGAAGATAAAGGATAAACTTTTAAATATAGTATTAGAACTTAACACTGCAAGCAGCAATGAGGAAAAAAAGCAACTTCTTTTCTTTAGCATGATAAGATAAAATAATTTAGTCTGCTTATTAATTTTTGTTTATTTTTATTTTTAATTAACAAGTAAAAATTGTATATATATATTTATACCTATATCAAAACATCATGTAATAGTATAAACATATTAAGGTAATAGTAATAGTATAGCATGTATGTAAGAGTGTAATAGTAATTGTATAACATAGTATACATAGTAATAGTATAAACATGATGTTTTGATATAGGTATAAATCATGGAATGGCTAAACCAGGCTATTTAATACCTGCATTACCTCACATAGTTTTTTGGAATAAGAACATTTAAAATTTATGGTCTTAGCAATTTTCTTTTTTTTTAATTATACTTTAAGTTCTGGGATACGTGTGCAGAATGTACAGGCTTTTTACATAGGTATACACGTGCCATCGTGGTTTGCTGCACCCATCAACCTGCCATCTACATTAGGTATTTCTCCTAATACTATCCCTCCCCTAGCCCCCTACCCCCTGACAGGCCCTGGTGTGTGATGTTCCCCTCCCTGTGTCCATGTGTTCTCATTGCTCAACTCCCACTTATGAGTAGGAACATGTGGTGTTTGGTTTTCTGTTCCTATGTTAGTTTGCTAAGAATGATGGTTTCCAGCTTCATCCATGTTCCTGCAAAAGACATGAACTCATCCTTTTTTATGGCTTCATAGTATTCCATGGTGTATATGTGCCACATTTTCTTTATCCAGTCTATCATTGATGGACATTTGGGTTGGTTCTAAGTCTTTGCTATTGGAAATAGTGCTGCCATAAACATATGTGTGCATGTGTCTTTATAGTAGAATGATTTATAATCCTTTGGGTATCTACCCAGTAATGGGATTGCTGGGTCAAATGGTATTTCTGGTTTTAGATCCTTGAGGAATCACCACACTGTCTTTCATGATGGTTGAACTAATTTACATTCCCACCAACAGTGTAAAAGTGTTCCTGTTTCTCCACATCCTTTCCAGCATCTGTTGTTTCCTGACTTTTTAATGATTTCCATTCTAACTGGCATGAGATGGTATCTCATGGTGGTTTTGATTTGTATTTCTCTAATAACCAGGGATAATAAGCTTTTTTTTCATATGTTTGTCGGCTGCATAAGTATCTTCTTTTGAGAACTGTCTGTTCATATCCTTTGGCCAGTTTTTGATGGGGTTGTTTGTTTTTTTCTTGTAAATTTGTTCAAGTCCCTTGTAAATTCTGAATATTAACCCTCTGTCAGATGGATAGATTGCAAAAACTTTCTCCCATTCTGTAGGTTGCCTGTTCACTCTGATGATAGCTTCTTTTGCTGTGCAGAAGCTCTTTAGTTTAATTAGATCCCATTTGTCAATTTTGGCTTTTGCTGCCATTGCTTTTGGTGTTTTAGTAATGAAATCTTTGCCCATGCCTATGTCCTGAATGGTATTGCCTAGGTTTTCTTCTAGGATTTTTGTGCTTTTAGGTTTTACATTGAAGTCTTTAATTCTTCTTGAGTTAACTTTTGTATAAGGTGTAAGGAAGGGGTCTAGTTTCAGTTTTCTGCATATGGCTAGCCAGTTTTCCCAACACTATTTATTAAATAGGGGATCCTTTCCCCATTGGTCATTTTTGTCATGTTTGTCAAAGATCAGATGGTTGTATATGTATGGTGTTTTTTTCTGAGGCCTCTGTTCTGTTCCATTGGTCTATATATCTGTTTTGCTACCAGTACCATGTTGTTTTGGTTACTGTGGCCTTGTAGTATAGTTTGAAGTCACGTAGCATGATGCCTCCAGCTTTGTTCTTTTTGCTTAGGATTGTCTTGGCTATATTAGCTCTTTTTTGGTTCCATATTAAATTTAAAGTAGATTTTTTCTTATTATGTGAAGAAAGTCAATGGTAGCTTGCTGGGGATAGCATTGAATCTATAAATTACTTGGGCAGTATGGCCATTTTCATGATATTGATTCTTCCTATCCATGAGCATGGGATGTTTTTCCATTTGTTTGTGTCCTTTCTTATTTCCTTGAGCAGTGATTTGTAGTTCTCCTTGATGAGGTCCTTCACATCCCTTGTAAGCTGTATTCCTAGGTATTTTATTCTCTTTGTAGCAATTGTGAATGGGAGTTCACTCACGATTTTGCTCTCTGTTTGTCTATTATTGGTGTATAGAAATGCTTCTGATTTTTGCACATTGATTTTGTATCCTGAGACTTTGTTGAAATTGCTTGTTAGCTTAAGGAGATTTTGGGCTGAGACAATGGGGTTTTCTAAATATACAATCATGTTATCTGCAAAGCAATTTTCAAGTAAACAATGTACAGTTGGCATTCTGTATCTGTAGAATCCACATCCATGGATTTAATCAACTGTAGGTCAAAACTATTTTTAAAAATAGTTAATCTGTACTGAATATGTACACACTTTAAGAAATGGCATTATTCCCTAAACAACACAGCATGACAACTATTTAAATAGCATTTATATTGCATTAGGTAGCATAAGTAATCTAGAGATAATTTAAAGTATATGAGAAGATGTGCATAGGTTATATGCAAATACTATGTCATTTTATATAAGATATTTGAGCATCTGTGCATTTTGATATCTGTGGGGAGGTCCTGGAATCAATCCTTTGGAGATACCAAGGGATGACTCTGTGTTGTTGTTATTATTTTTTAGCTATTGTAAGTGGGATTGTTTTCTTGATTTCTTTTTCAGATAGCTTATTGTTAGTGTATAGAAACACTACTGATTTTTGCATGTTAATTTTGTATCCTGCAATTTTTACTGAATTTGTTTACTAGTTTTAACAGTTTTTCTTGGTGAAGTCTTTAGAGTTTTTTAAACATATAAGATCATGCAGTCTGCACACAGAGACAATTTTGCTTCTTTCTTTACAGTTCAGATGCCTTTTATTTCTTTCTGTTACTTAATTTCTCTGACTACGACTTCTAATACTACAATGAATAGAAGTGGCGAGTGTGGGTATCCTTGTTTTGTTCCTGATCTTTTATATATATATATATATATATATATATATATTTAATTATACTTTAAGTTCTAGGGTACATGTGCACAACATGCAGGTTTGTAGGAGATATACCTAATAGTTCCTGATCTTAGAGAAAAAACTTTCAACTTTTCACAGTTGAATTTGATCTTAGCTATGGGCCTGTCACATATGGCCTTTATCGTGTTAAAGTACATTCTTATTATACCTAATTTTTTGAGGGTTTTGTCATGAAAGTATGCTGAGTTTTTTCAAATGCTTTTTGTGCATCTATTGAGATGATCACATGGTTTGGGCCTTCATTCTGTTAATGTGATGTATCACATTTACTGGTTGCCCATGTTGAAACATCTTTGCCTCCCAGGGATAAATTCCACTAGATTTATGATGAGTAATCCTTTAATGTGTTGTTAAATTTCATTTATTTTGCTCAGGATTTTTTCATCTATGTTTAATAAGAAAATACGCTTATAATTTTCTTTTCTTGTAATGTTCTTGTCTGGGTTTGTTATCAGGATAATAGTAGCCTCATAAAATGATTCCAGAAGTATTCCCCCCTCTTAAATTTTTTAGAAGAGTTTCAATAGAATTGGAATTAGTTTTTTTTTTAAAAAAAATTGATAACATTAATCAGTAAAGCCATCAGGTCCTGGGCTTTTCTTTGATGGGAAAAATTTTATAACTGATTCTATCTTCTTACTTGTTGCCCTGTTTAGAGTTTCTATTTCTTCACGATTCAGTTTTGGTAGGTTGTGTAATTTCTTCTATGTTACCGAATATGTTGGTATATAGTTGTTTATATTCATCTCTTATGATTTTTTGTATTTCTGTGATATCAGTTGTGTCTCCTTTTTCATTTCTGATTAATTCAATTTTTTTCTTTTTTCTTTTAGTCTAGCTAAGGTTTTGTTGATTTTCTTTGTCTTTACAGAAAGCTAACTTTCAGTTTCATTGATTTTTCTATCTCTTTTCTAGTGCCTATTTTATTATTTCTGCTCTAATCTTTATTGTTTCCTTCCTCTAGTAACTTTGGGCTTAGTTTATTCTTTTTACAGATCCTTGATGTGCAACATTAGGTTATTTATTTGAAATCTTTTTATTATTTTTCTATAGGCATTTATTGCTAAAGACTGTTCTTAGAACTGCCTTTTTGTACATTCCTCAAGTTCTGATATGTTCTGTGCCCATTTACATAGTTTTAAATTTTATTTTTGCCTAACGGGTGATGTAAACTGGAAAGTGTGCCATGCATTTTTGAGAATATGTGCATTCTGCTTCTGTTTGATTAAATATTGTATATTTCTCTTAGGTCCATATGGTCTAAACTGTAGTACAAGTCCAATGTTTCCTTATTAATTTTCTGTCTGTCTAATCTGTCCATTGTTGAAAGTGGGGTATTGAAGTCCCCTACTATTATATTGCCATCTATCTGTCTCTTCAAAACTATTAATATTTGCTTTGCATATCTAGGTGCTCTGATGTTTGGTGCATATATATGTATAATTATTATATCTTCTTGAAGTGGTGTGTAAATCACTTATATTTTTAGCATGAAAGTTAAAAGACAAATAGTAATATCCATAATAATTTAAGGAAAGCAACTTTAAAATATGTGAATGTTACATTAAAAATATAAGATGTGAGGGGCAGGAGTAAAAGTGCAGCATTTTCTAGTGCAGTCAAAATTAAGTCGTTATCAGCACAAAATAGCCTGCTATAACTGTAAGAAGTTTTATGTAAGCCTCATGGTAACACAAGGCAAAAGCCTATGGTGGATACACAAAAGACAAAAAGTAAGGAATCCATGTAGAGTACTAGAAAAAAATCACATATTCACAAAGGAAGATAGCAAGAGAGGAAGAAAGAAACAAAGGATCAACAAAACAATCAGAAAACAATAAACAAAATGGCAGTTGTAGGTTCTTACCTATCAATAATTACCTTAAATGTAAATGGATTAAATTCTCTAATCGAGAGACATAGTGTGGCTGAATGGATAAAAAAATAAGACCCAACTAGAGAATCACTTCACCTTTGAGGACACTCATAGATTGAATGTGAAAGAATGAAGAAAGATATTCCATGTAAATAAAAACCAAAAGCAAGCAGTAGCAGCTAAACTTAAATAACATAAAATCATCTTTAAATTGAAAATAAAATAAAAAGGTCATGATGTATAATAAAAGGGCCAAATCATCAGGAAGTGTTCAATGTTTATAAAGTCTACAGTAGTGTATAGTAATGTCCTATCCCTTCACATTCACTCACCACTCACTCAAAGCAAATTTCAGTCCTGCAGGCTCCATTTATTGTAAGTGCCCTATAGAGGTATACCATTTTTTATCTTTTGTGTCATATTTGCACTGTATCTTTTCTATCTTAGGTACACAAACACCGTTTGTGTTAAGACTGCCTACAGTATTTAATACAATAACGTGCAGATTTGTAGCCTAGGAGCAATGGCTATACCAGATAGTCTAGCCTGCATGTGTAGTAGGCTATACCATCTAGGTTTGTGTAAGTATACTCTATTATTTATTTTTTTCTTTTCTTTTCTTTTCTTTTTTTTTGAGATGGACTCTCACTCTGTCACCCAGGCTGGAGTGCAGTGGTGCGATCTCGGCTCACTACAAGCTCCACTTCCCTGGTCCACGCCATTCTCCTGCCTCAGCCTCCCGAGTAGCTGGGACTACAGGCGAATGCCGCCATGCCTGGGCAATTTTTTGTATTTTTAGTAGAGATGGGGTTTCACCACGTTAGCCAGGATGGTCTCAATCTCCTGACCTCGTGATCCACCCCCCTTGGCCTCCCAAAGTGCTGGGATTACAGGCGTGAGCCACGGCGCCCAGCCTATGATTTTTGTACAATGGCAAAATCACTCAATAATTCATTTTTTAGAATGTATGCCCAATGTTAAGTGACACAAGTCTATACTATGTTCTTTCCTGTACATGTTTTTCTTTCTATACAAACTACGGTATAGTTTAATTTATAAATTAGACATAGTAAAAGATTAACAATAGTAACTAATAATGAAATAGAACAATTATAAAAATATACCAGCATCACTACTCATGCTCTTTGGAACTATTATTAAGTAAAATAAAGATTATTTGAACACAAGCACTGTGATACTGCAACGGTCAATCTTATAACTACTCAGTGACTAACAGATGGGTAGTGTATACAGTATGGAGACACTGGGCAAAGGGCTGATTTATGTCTTGGGCAAAATGAGTGGGACAAAGTAGGAAAGTACAAGATTTAATCATGTTACTCAGAACAGTCTGCAAATTTAAAATTAATGAATTGCTTATTTCTAGGATTTTCCATTTAACATTTTTGGACCATAGTTGACTGCTGGTAATTGAAACTGTGAAAAGTGAAAATGCAAATAAAGGGGGAATACTGTACCACAATAGATGGGGGTGGACACTTCTATGACTGGAACATTTTCTATGATTACATGAAAATGGACTAAATAACATAATCAAAGGAAGAGATTGTCAGACTAAATAGAAAAGCAAGATCCAACTATATGCTGTATACATTTTAATTCAAAGATACAAATATGTTTAAAGTAAAAGAAAGAGATAAGTTATGCCATGGAAGCAGTAATGAAAATCAAGCTTCAGTGGCGCTATTAATGGTATTTGGAGATGGAGCTTTGGGGATTTAATTAGGATTATATAAGGTCATCAGGGTAAGGGTTCCATCATGGGACTGGCAGCTTTATAAGAAGAGAGACCTGAGCTGGCACACTCATGCTCTCTTGCCATGTGATGCCTTTTGTTATGTTATGATGCAGCCAGCATGCTCTCACCAGATGCCAGTGCCATGGTATTAGACTTTCCAGCCTCCAGAATCATAAGCTAAATAAACTTCTTTTTGTAATAAATTACCCAGTCTCAGGTATCCTGAATTAGCAACAAAACACAAACTAAGACAAGTGACAATATTGTTATCAGACAAAATAGACTTAAAAAAGAAATTGTTATTAGTGGCAAAGAACAACATATCAAAATGATGAGAGTCTCAACATATTAAGAAGATATAACATTTATATATATGTATGCAACTAACAACAGACCCCCTGAAATGCATATAAAATATGATAGATTTGAAAACAGTAATAAAGAATTAACAATTGTAGTTGAATATTTTCATGCTTCCTTTTCAGTGATTTTTAGTACAGACAGAAAGTCAGTAAAGACATTAAAGACTTGATTAATACCAGAATAAACTGACCTAATTTTCATAGAAAATACTCCACCACGAACAGTAGAATACACATTCTTTTCAAGTTTATGTGGAACATTCCACAGGATAGACCATATACTAGAGCATCAAACAAATCATGATAAATATTAAAGAGATAAAATAATAAAAGGAAAAATAATTTATGAGTACCCCAGAATAAAATTAGAAATTCAAGAATAGAAAGACATTTGGGAAATTGTAAATATTTGAAATTATACAATCTACTTTTAAATAATACAAGCATTTTTTAAAAGCAATTACTAGGTAATTTTAAAATGGACTGGATGAAAAATACATAATATGTTAAAATGGATGAAATTCTGCTAAAGCAGCATTTAAGGAGACATTTATGACTTCAAACACTTTCTTTAAATAGGAAAAAAATTTGTATTCAATAATCTAAGCTTCCATTTCACAAAGCTCATGTGAATAAATCAAACTCACTGTAAGTAGAATGGAGAAAATAATAAATATTAGGCATAAAACAATAAAATTATGAACAGAAAACAATAGAAATTAAACCTAAATTTGGGTCTTTGACAAAATAATGAAAATAATAAACACTTAGATAGACTGATCAAATGAAAAGAAAAAACAATCATGAAAAATAAAATTCCAAGGTTAAGGAAGGAAAGAATGGATATCACTACAGTCCCTGCAGAATGTAAAATGATTATAAAAAACTGTTGTGAACAATTTTATGTCAATAAATAGTTTAAATGTAAATGAGCAAATTAATAGAAAGACACAGGTTACTAAAAGTAACACAGAAGATTTAAAAAATCTGAATTTATCTATTTCAAGTGAGAAAATTTAATCAGTAATAAAAACCTTCCCACAAGAAAAAGCCAAGTTTCAGATGGCTCAACTGATGAACTCTGTCAAACATTTAAAGAAGAAATAATATCAGTTCTATACAAATTATGTCAGAAAATAGAGGAGGTCTGCTATAATTTGGATGTTTGTCTCATCCAAACCTCATGTTGAAATTTGATCCCCAATATTGGAGGTGAGGCCTGCTGAGAGGTGTTTGGGTCACAGAGGCAGATCCCTCATGAATAGATTAATGCCCTCCCTTAGGGGTGAGTGAGTTTGCTATTAGACCTGGTTATTCAAAAGAGCCTGACACCTCCTCCCTCTGTCTCTTGCTTCCTCTCTGTCCATGTGATCTCTGTACACACTAGCTCCCTTTCACTTTCTTTCATAAGTGGAAACACCCTGAGGCCCTCACCAAAAGCAGATGCTGGTGTCAGGCTTCTTGAACAGCCTGCAGAACCATGAGCTAAATATGCCTCTTTTCTTCATAAATTGCCCAGCCTCAGCTATTCTTTTATAACAATGCAAAGTTGACTAAGAAAAGGTGGAATTTCCAACTTATTTTATGAGGCCAGTATTAACATACTAATAAACTCAGATACCACAAGGAAAGAAAACTACATCAATATCATGTATGAACGTAGGTTTAGATACCTTTAACAAAATTTTAGCAGAGTCTAGAAACAAAAAAATTTTGCACCATGACCAAGAGAGATTTATCCAGCAATGCAAAGTTGGTTTAACACTAGAGAAGGTAATGCATCATATTCTTAAAGGATACATCTCACATGATCATCACAATGGATGAGAAAAAAGCATTTGACAAAATATAACCCTTTTTTGATAAAAACTCTCAATAAAGTTGAAATAGAAGATAACTTTCTCAACTGATTAGAGTATCTACAAATACACACAGGTAACATACTTGATGGTGAAATATTGAATGTTTTCCACTTAATATGGGGGATAAGGCAAAAATGTCTGCTCATTTCTTATAAACATCATCTAGAAGGTTCTAGCCAATGCAAAAATACAATAATTAAAAATGAAAGGCAAACATACTGGAAAGGGGAGATGAAATTGTCTTTATTTGCAGGCTATATAACTGTGTTTACAGAAAAACCTAAGGAATTTATGGAAACTACTATCAGAACCAATAAGCAAGTTTAGCGAAGGTACAAAATTAATTGTTGTCCTGAAATATAACCAATAAATATTTCAAAAACAAAACTAAATAAAAATTCCATTATAAAATCATCCCAAAAGATATATATTTATAAATTTAACAAAAGGTATAATATTTTATCCTGAAAACTATAAAATATTTTTATTATGGTAAAAAACATAAAATTTATTATCTTAACTATTATGTACATTGCCATAGTGTTAACTATATGTACACTGTTGTATAACAAATATCTAAATCTTTTTCACCTTACAAAACTAAAACTCTATACCCATTGAACAACTCCCCCTTTCCATTATCTCTTGCCTCTGTCAACCATCATGCTACTTTCTTTTTGTAAGAGTTTGCCTCTGTTAGATTCCTCATGTAAGTGGAATCATGTATTATTTGTGCTTTTGCTACTGGTTTCAAGGTTCATCTATGTTGTAACATATTTCAGGATCTCTCTTTTTTTTTTTTAAAAAAAAAGGCTAGAGACTATTCTATTGCAAGTATATACCAAATTTCTTTATCCACCATCATGTCCATGGGCATTTATGTTGCTTCCATGTCTTGGCTATTGTGAATAATGGGGCAACAAATATAAGTGTGTTCAAGATCTTGTTTTTCAGTTCTTTTGGATATATACCCACTAGAGGTATTGCTGGATCATATGGTAGCTGGAGTATTTTTTAATATATGGTTTATATTACCACTTATCTGATATATGGTTTGCAAATATTTTCTCAATTCTATAGGTTGACTTTTCACTCTGTTGATTGTTTTCTTCACTGTGTAGAGATATTTAAGTTTGATATAGTCCAACTTGTCTATTTTTGCTTTTGTTGCCTGTGCTTTTGATATCATATCTAAGAAATTTTTGACATCAGTTTAGTAAATAAAATTATTTGGAATTATTTGTCAGGTAATTCATAAATACCCGTTTCTTTACGGTAGGTTTCTGGAGATTTAATTGGCTTTTTTCATGGGACCATGTCTCCCTGTTTCATTGTATGTTTTCTTATTTTTTCGGAGATTTTTGCATTTGAAGAAACAATCACTTCTACTAGTTTTTAAGGACTGGATTTGCACAGATAATGGCCTTTGCCAGTCAACTCTGCTAGAGATTTTGGGGGCTTCTCAAATATTTTATGGGGATTCACTTTTTCTGGACTGGGGTTTGTAATTTCCCAATTAAAAGAGGTGTTTATCAGTTTCTTTTTCAGGAGCTCTTACTCTCTCTCTCTCATGTCTATTTGTGGTAATGTATGTTCTCAGGTTCAGTAACAAACTCATGAGCTCTCCTTCATTTTTAACAGCTTGTCGACATTTAAAGTAGGCCAGCTCCCCACCAGCATTTCATTTCAATGCCACTGTTCTTGGCTTTGTGCTCGCCTGGTGTACTCTGACTTCTTAACTGGCTTCTAGAGTTCTCATAAAGACTTTCTGAAAATATATCATTGTGAAATCATTGTCTCCATGGGGAAATGAGGTCTGGAGTTTTCTTTTCTACTACCTCACTGAAAACTACAAATATTGCTGAAAACAAAGATCTAAATAGTCAGTTATACTATATTTATAGATTCAAAGACCTAATATTATGATAATATTCTCAAAGTAATCTATAAATCCCTATGATATCTCTATGTTCTCTATACAAATATAGAGGGTGTTCTTTTTCTTTTTTTATTTGTGGAAATGAATATTCTGATCCTAAAATCTATGTGAAATGTAAACGTCCTAAAATATTCATAGGTATTTTGAAAAAGTATAACAAAGTTGGAAGACATTATAACATATTCCAGGATGTTCTAAAAAATTAGAGTAATTGGAAGTTTGTGATTGACATGAGAATACATATACAGATCAATGGAAGATAGATCAGTGGAAGATAATTGAATGCTCCGAAGTTAACCCTCACATGTGAAGCCAATTTAGTTTTTAAAAGAATAAACTGAATTACCAATTAAATGGGCAAAACTATCTTTTCAATAATTGGTGTCGGTACCATTGGATATTCATATCCAAAAAGAAAGAAAGAAGAATGAATGAAAGAACAAAAAAAAAAAAAGAAAGGAAGGAAAAACGGCAGGAAGGCACCAAAACCAAACAAAACAAAGAAGAATTTTTTTTTTACAGACTGAGCCCCTTGTCTTATACTATACACTAAAATTAGCTAAAATGTGCCATAGACCTAAATATAAGAGCTAACAGTAAAACATTTCTAGAAAAATTACATGGGATTTATCTATCTATCTATCTATCTATCTATCTATCTATCTATCTATCTATCTACACAATAAGGTATATATAATATATAGATATAATGTATATTGATATAATATATAATATATATTGTTATATAATATATATTGATATAATATATAATATATAAAATCTATATTATATATAATGTATAATATATATTTTATATATATACCTTAGTTTAGGTATTGATCTCTTAGATCTCATACTGAATGCATGCTTTAAAAAGAAAATGATACATCAAGAAAATAAAATGACAATTCAGGGCTGAGTGTTGTGGCTCATTTCTGTAATCCCAGCACTGCAGTAGGTCAAGGTGGAAGGATTGTTTGAAGCTAGGAGTTTGAGACTGGGCTGGGTAACATAGTGAGATTTGACCTTAACATATATAGAAATAAAAAATAAAATTCTGGGTGCAGTGGCATGTGCCTGTAGTCCCAGCTACTCAGGAGGCTGAAGTGAGAGGATTGCTTGAGTCCAGGAGTTTGAGGTTGCAGTGCGCTATAATTGTGTTACCGCACTCCAGCCTAAGTGACAGAGCAAGACCCTGTCTCTATTTTTAAATAAATGATATAAAATAAAATAAAATAAAATGTCAATCCATACTGGGAAAATGTTTGCAAATGATATATCTGGTAAGGGATTGTATTGAAAATGTGTAGAGACCTCTCACTCTTCAAAAAAAAAGACATCCCAATAATAATGGCTAAATATATTTACTATTGTTCACCAAATAATAGATATAATGGCTAATGAGCACAATAAAGACTCTAAAAATCATTATTTATTAGAAAAAATGCAAATTGAAAGCACAATATGATATTACTACATACTCACTAAAAATGGCTATGACTAGGAGACTTACATTGCCAGGTGTTAGTTTGTGCCAAATTTTCATAGCGACACCATATGTAATAACCAATAATTGCTAGCAATCAAGGTGCCTATTAACTGATGAGTAGATAAGTAAAATCTGGCATATTCATACAATGGAATATTACTCAGTAACAAAAAGAAACAACCTACATGCAGTAACACAAATGAACCTCACATATATTATACGATGTGAAAGCAGACAGACACAAAAAGGTACATATTGCATGATTTAATTTAGGTAAAAATCCTATTAAATGCAAAACCGTATAGAGTAAAAGCAGTTTTATGGTATCTGATTCTGCCTGAGGGAAGAGATGGCAAACAGACGTGAGGAAAGGTTTTAGTATGAGGAAAGTACTCTTAAATTGGACCGTGGTGATTTTGTGCAACTCTATAAATTTACTAAAATTTATGAAACACTACACTTAAAGTGAGTGAACTTTTGGTATATAAATTATGCCCCAATAAAGTTATCTAAAAAGATAATATAAGGGTTAGTAAGTTTCAAGAGATATTCACAGAGAGAGAATGTAGAAGATGTGATATATGTACAACAGGTTTCCTCAAAGATGAAAACCAAAGCAGTGGAGCAGAATAATTACTGAAGTTCAAAACTCAAGAATCTTTCTTACATACATACATACGTACATATATATACACACACACACATATATAATACACACACACCACACATACACACACACACAAATGTATTTGTGTAATCTCACATATTTAAATCTCACAATGCATACCTAGGATAATTTACTAAGAATAACCACTACCAAGACATATTTTGTGAATCCAGATATCATTATTTGAAATAAGATCAACAAAACCGACCAAATATTATCTAACCTAATCAAGGGAAAAAGGAAAAAACCCACAAACATTAACAATAATGAGGAAAACAATTATATGATGAATAATTACTTACATTATAAGATAAAGAATATATTTACATATAGTTTAAAACCTAGAAAAAAATAATTTTTAAAAGAAATACACAACTAACTAAATTGACCTAAGTAGAGAGAAAATCTAAACAGGTGAATCATAATACAGGAAACCAAAAAAACTGTTAAAGAGCTCCCCCTACTTCCCCACCCCAATAAACAATAAATCACCAGACCCAGTATTTCTGTTGGTTATCCCACCAATTATTTATCAGATACTTTCCATTCTACTTAAATGATTCTACAGCATAGAAAGGAAGAAAAATTCCAACTTTATTTTCTCCATTAAACAAAACTTAATGTTTTTGTAGAATACATTTAAATTTTCAAAAATTTGTGTCTTTAGCAACTTTATTGAAGTATAATTTTCATACCATAAAATTCATCTTCCTTTTAAATGTAAAATATAACAATTTTTTGTAAGTTGCTAAGTTGTGTTCTTGTCACTACAGTCAAGTTTGAGAACATTACCATCACTCTAATTTGATCTCTCCTGCCCATTTATAGCTAATCCTCATACTCACTGCTAGCCCTAGGCAACTACTAATTTACTTTCCAGCTCTAGAGATTTGCCTTTTTAATACATTTCATATAAATTAATTCATACAATTTGTGGTCTTTTGTGTCTTCTTTTATTTTGCATACTGTTTTTCAAGTTCATCCATGTTGTAGCATATATCAATATTTATTTCAAAATACCTTTGAAAAGGAAGTGTAATAATGATTTCAAAATCTAGAATGATGAAAATAAATCAAAAAATAAAACTACAGATAAACCTCATTCATAAATATTAAAGTAAAAATTATTAATGATAGTTACCAGAAGCTGGGAAGGGTGTGTTTTTACGGGTGGGGAGGATGAAAAGAGGTTGGATAGCAGGTACAAACACACAGTTAGCTAGAAGAAATAAATTTTAATATTCCATAGAAGAATAGGGTGACTATAGTTAACAACAATGTATTGTATTTCAAATAGCTAGAAGAGACGTCTAGAAATATTTCCAATACATAGAAATGATAAATGATCCATGTAATGTTTATTATTTTATTTATTTATTTATTTAGACAAGGTCTTGCTCTGTCACCTAGGCTGGCCTGCAGTGGCACGATCTCAGCTCACTGCAACCTCTGCCTCCTGGGTTCAAGTGATTTTCGTGCTTCATCCTCCCGAGTAGCTGGGATTACAGGAACGTACCACCATGCCCATCTAATTTTTCTATTTTTAGTAGAGACAGGGTTTCACCATGTTGGACAGGCTGGTCTTGAACTTCTGATCTCAAGTGACCCACCTGCCTAGGCTTCCCAAAGTGCTAGGACTACAGGCCTGAGCCACTGCACCCAGCCCAGGTGATGGATATTCTAAATACCCTGACTTTATCATAACACATTCTATGCATGTAGCAAAATATCACATGTACTCCATGAATATGTAAAAATACTATGTATTTTAAAAGTAAAAATCTTTAGTGAAACATTTGCAAACAGAATATAATCTTATTTATTGAACTAAGGAGCAAATTCATTTCGTTATCACCCTAGATACAGAGAAACACTTGAAAAAAAATCTAACATCATTTATTGAAAATACTAAATGAAATAGGAACTGATGGATACTTTCTTTGTAACATACATATGCTTTAAACTAAAATCTAGCTCCTTAGTGTGAGGCCACTAGAGGGTTTTCAAGTAAATCCAGGAACAAAACAAGGATGCTCATTACACCCATTTTAATATATTATTGTTTTGGAGGATATTAGCCAAAACACTCTCAGAATTACACCAATTGAAAATGATATATTTTCAGGTGACATGATTATATATCTGCAAAACCTAAAGCAGGCAAAAGGAAAACCACTGAGAATTGACAAATTAGAAAATTTTAATAAATTTGCAGGTGTATTAGTGTCTTTTGCTGTTGTAACAGATTACCAAAGCAGCTGATAACAATAGAAATGTACTATCTTACAGATCTAGATCTCACTGGGTTGAAATCAAGATATTGGCAGTACTGTGTACCTTTTGGAGGCTCTCAGGGAAAATCCACTTTCATGCCATTTTCAGCTTCTAGGAGTCACCCTCATTCATTTTCTTGTGGCCCCTTCTATCTTCAAAGTCTAAAATAGCTAATTAGTTTTTTTTTTTTTTTGACATCACACCACTCTAACACTGACTCTTCTGCCTCTCACTTCCATTTTAAGAACTCTCGTAATTACATTGGTCCCACCTGTATAACCAGGATAATAGCCTTATGTTAAGGCCAGCTGATTAGCAACCTTAATTTTATCTGCAACTTTAATTTCCTTTTGCTATTTAATCTAATATATTTGCAGGTTCTGAGGATTAGGATGCAGACATCTGTAAGGAGGGCCCTTATTCTGCGTAACCCCTGCAGGTTATAAAATTAACATACCAAAAATCAATAATTTTCATACCTAAAAGTCAAAAGAAAGAAAGAAGAAGAAGAACAGGAAGAGGAAGAGGAAGAAGGAGAAGGAGAGGAAGAAGAAGAAATAATTCAAGAAAAGTCCTCATCTATCATAGTCAAGAGGAAAAAATACAGCGACATGGACATAAATTTAACAAGAAATGTACAAAATATTTACAAGAAAACTAGAAAACACTCCTAAAGACACAAAACTAGACTGGGAATAAATGGAGAAATTTGTCATATATGTTGATGGGAATATTTAATGTAAAGGTGGTGACTCTGCTTAAGTTAATTTATACATTTAATGTAACCCCAATAAAAAATACCATTATGTTTCTCTCAGGAGCTAGAGAATGTAAGTATATGATGCAATTTCATGAATCTGCAAGGGTAGTCTTGAAAACTACCTTGCTGCAGTTTTCAAGTCTTGGTAAATGAAGAGCAACAAAAACATAGTGTAACATCTCTGTAATTAAAACAGCATGACATTGACTCAGACATAGATGGAATGTATTAGTTAATTACTATGGTGTAACAAATTATCTCAATATTTATCAGCTCAAAAAGCAAATGTTTATTATCTAACTTACTTTGTGAACATATAAATCTTGACCAAATAAGTAATCAGAAAATAAGTGGATTACTTGTATCATCACTCATCCCCCTTGCTTGTTGCTTATATGTTTTGGAAATTACAGGGACAATAATATTAACGGAAGGAAAAAGACAACAAAATATTATCTCTCTTTCCTACTTTTAAGAGTTGCATGTTATTTTATATACTCATGTACTTATTTCTTTTAAATTCCCCTACTACAAACCTTTAGATTACTTGCAATTTTATGACTATTTCCCCTTTTATGGATATTTAGATTGTTTGTAATTTTCTGAACCAAAATTATAATTACCATCCATATACCCATGTGCATGAGTAAGAACATTTCTCTAGAATATATTCCCAATTGTTGATCTGTTGAATAAAGAATATTCCAAATTAAAATATTGATAGATCTTGACATTGCCTTCTAAAATGTTGAGAATCAATTTCCTTTCCTCCAGCCATATGGGTGAATTCTTATGTCCCCGAATCCTCATTATTGGCATTCCTTTTAATTTGTTTTTTTTTGAAACAGAGTGTCACTCTGTCACCCAGCCTGGGGTGCAGAGGTGTGATCTTGATCTCGGCTAAGTGCTACCTCCTCCTCCCAGGTCTAAGTGATTCTGCTGCCTCAGCCTCCCGCGTAGCTGGGATTACAGGTGCCCACCACCACAACTGGATAATTTTTGTATTTTTAGTAGAGACAAGGTTTCACCATGTTGCCCAGGGTGGTCTTGAATTCCCCAGTGATCTGCCTGCCTGGGCCTCCCAAAGTATTGGTATTACAGGCAAGAGCCACCGAGCCCTGCCAATTTGCATTTCTCTAATTATTCAGAATCCTCTTGTAGAAATATTGGTTATAGGTATTTATCTCTCTGTATTTGCTTTCCAATCCATATACTTTGTCTAGTTTTGTACTAGATTGTTTGCCTTTCTCTTATTGATTTGTAGGGGCTTTTTGTCTATCTATCATCTATCTATATCAATCTATCTATCATCTGTCTATCACCTATCTGTCTATCGATTATCTATCTATGTATCATCTGTTGAGGGAGGGAGAGAGAGAGAGAGAGAGACTATAAATATTTTTCTTTCATTCTGTCCCTGTATGTAGTATTGTCATTATGCTTTTATTTTTTTAGTAAAATTCTTATCCAAGTAATTTTTATTATTCTCAAGCTTTCTTTTTTAAAAAAATTAATCTTGAAATACTTTTAGATTTACAGAAAAGTTGCACATGGTACAGAGAGTTTCTATATATTCTTTTACTTAGCTTCCCCTGATGTTGGCATCTTACATAATTATCGTGAGTTTGTTAAAACTAAGAAATTAACATTAGTGCAACACCATTAACTAAATTACAGACTTTAATCAGATTTCACCAGTTTTCCCATTAACGTCCTTTTTCTGTTCCAAAATCTCATCTGGGACACCACATTGCATTTATTCACCATGTTTTCTTTGTTTCTGCAAATATGTGACAATTTTTCAGTCTTCCCTTGTTTTTCATGACTTTGACATTTTGAAGAGTTCTTGTTGGGCATCTTTAGAATGTTTCTCAATTGTAATTTGTCTGATATTTTCTCATGATTAGACTGGAGTTATGGATTTTGGGGAAGAACACTACAGAAGTGAATTGCCCTGTTCATCATATTATATCAGAGGGTACACAATATCAACATGACTTATCACCGGTGGTGACAGTAATCTTGATTACTTGCTTGAGGGGATGTCTGATGAATTTCTCCTGAGTAAAGTCCTTTTCCCTTCCTATTTTTTATTGTTAAAAGCAAATTAGTAAATCCAGTCCATATTTAAGATGAAGGAAATTAAGCTCCACCTCCTGGAGCAGGGGAGAGAATTTACATTTAATATTGGAAATTTTTCTGTAAAAAATTTTGTTTTTTTTCCTTGTATTATTCATCTGATTATTTATTTATGTAACTGTGGCTTCATAAATATCTTAGAAATTTACATATGTACATATAATTCACATATATATACACAAGTAATCTGTACATATTACACATAATGTAATACATATTATTTTGCCATGCAGAAGTGCATATACCTCTAGGTGGCACAAGGTATTATAAACACTGTAAAAAGCAAATGGATAAACCAGGGAAAACATTTGCAATATATGTCATGGCCAAAAGGTTACGATTTCCAAATACAAATTTTGTTTTTACAGAAACAGAAGAAAACAATGACAACTATATATAAAGTGGTCTAGTGAATGAATGGTTTACAAGAAATATAAATACTACTTAAATATACAAAAGGCATTTAACTTTACACAAATTAAGAGAAGTGCAAATTAAAACTACACCAAGATGCCAATGTTTTTCATCTATTTATTGGCATGAATCCAAAAGTTTGATAATTTATGTTGGCAAGGTTAGAGTGAGAAGTAGGCATTTGCATATATTACCAGTGTGTCTTTGGAATCATTAATTCTTCTTCTAGAAATCTATCCCAAAGACGCACTGAAAAAAATATAAAAATACATATGTATGAGTGATTCTTTATAATAGAAAGATAGGAATTACTCAAATATTTTTAATAGTAAATTTAATTATCCATCATAGCTTTATATAGTAGAATATTATGCAGCCATAGAAAGAATAAGGAATGTCTTTATATTCTACTAAGGAGTTATCTGTAAAATGTATTAAATGATTTTTCTCCAAGTAGCTTTTGTCATTTATTGTATTTTACAGATATGAAAATATTTAATATATTTTACAGATATGCAACTAATAGTATGCAACTATTATCCAAAAAATAGGGAGACAAATATGAATGTATAAGTATCAAAAAAATGGATGCTATCAAATGTGGTCACCTAAAGTAAGAGGGAAATAATAAGGTGAGGGAGACAGTGTTAAATGATAGTCTTCTTTAAATGCACCTACTTTTGTTGATTTAATTTTGGAACTCTGTAAATATTTTACATTAGCAAAAAGTTTGATTTTAAAAAGTAATTTCTAAAAACTCAAAAGTAAGTGAAAATAAATGAACCTAAATTTATATTGAGTTGCTGGCAAAACCACACAAACAAAAACTGTAAGTGTCTTTAAAACAATAATTTGACGGTACATTCCTAGTGTGATATACAGAAATGCAACAAATTCTTAGGTTGTTTTCCATAGGCATATAATTGGTCATAGTGTTTCTATTGCCATTCTGAGATTGTTGTGTGCGTAAATTGTTTTAATTCTCTATTCCTCATTTCTTTGAGAGTGAGGCTTCTTAAATACCAGGAAATAGGCATATGAGATTAAAAAAATTAAGAAAATTCATGAAGCGTTAACATTGAATTGGAAAATCAATATGAAGTCATGATATATTTTACCTTAAAAATAACAAAGCCAGACATTAAATTAAATCAAAATATATTAAACTAAGGATTGTGCATTAAAGTAGGAATGGGTACATCACTGATGCTAGTGGCTTAAACACAGAAATCAAAAGACTTTATTAGACAAAACCTTTGGCTCTAGTTATTATCCAATGCACTTGATAGAAAGTAGATGGACTAAAAATCTTCTCAATATTAGAGAGAATGGTATTATTTAAGAAACCCCAAGACTGCATAGAAAGACTGTTCAATGTCTAAAACAATTCTCAGGCCACCAAAGTTACTCCAACAGGAAGTCACCTGCTACTGCTGTGCTATCCCCAAGAAGGATCTCCCCACAACTATCTATGTTAGGTGAGGCCAAGGAATTCAGTGGGCCACCTTTCAGAGACAGAAATAAGGGCTGTGAATCTGGCCAATGGACTCATTCCTATGCCAGAGTGTGGAGATGTCATTAAACCTAAAAAGGGATGTAGGGATCATTTTAAGTAAAATTTACATCTCTAAATAGTCAATCTCCAACTCAATGCCTATGATTCTTGGTATAATAGCAATATAGAATAGACTACTATTCCTTGTAGAAGAAAGAATTATATACCCATGAAGTGAAACACAGTGAACATCAGAAAGCCCCAAGTTTGTCAGGAAATCAATCAGCAAAGCAATCATCAACCACATGTTAGAATTCAAACTGCAGGAATAAACAGGAAAAACTGAAGTGCAGAATGAGTAATTATGTAGAAAGCTTTGTTGTGGGCAGAATTATTTTAATATTTGAAGACTAAAGCATGAATTTGGGGAACCCAGCAATACAGGCCAAATTCCCATATACCAGCAGATTCTTTATTTCACCGTGGCCTGAATTTAGCCTCAATAGAAATTATATTTAAAAATCCCTGTTTAGTCAAACATTTGAATGTTTATGTTTTAAATTTTTCACTGTCTCAGGGATTACCTGAGGATTCCAAATAACTTATTTTGATGTGTTTAAAATGCAAACCAACATACACATTAATGTTGCTAATGAAATTTGGGAATCCTGTGTTTGTGTATTTAAAGTTCCTCAGATCCTAAATCTTCAATTCGCAACTACCTCCTATCCAAATCTAGGTTATGTCTCTTGACATGAATCAATTACCCTGAAACTCCCCTGATTACACAAAGCCTTGTTTACCTAACTGTTTTGCTGTCCCAGAACATTTCTGATAAACAGCATTATGTGGTCTGATGTGCACAAGTGCACCTTGAGTTACATGAATTATGAATCAGAATCATCTTCAGCACACCTGCCACCCTCACATTACCTGACTATGGTATGCAGTCAACGTTTATTGGAAATGCAAATAATTGTAGTGTAAAAAATCTTGATTGTGCAGCTAGTCATTTATTTCGTATACATTCATTTACTCATGAATACGGGACAGATTTTATGAAGAGTTATATATTCTGTCAGTTGGAACAAGTATGACAATGGGATCCCTTAGCAAAGCCGTGTATTTGATGAACTATATGAAAAGACTTGACCTGCATTTGTCCATCTCTCAGTCATGAAGGAGGGTTGGTTGTTTGCTTGTGGCAGTAATCCTGACATTGTCATTGATCTTATGGGAGAGCTGATGAGTAACAAAATGAAGTAATTGAGTTGTCACTAGGAAAACTTTTGAATATCCCCACCCCATTGAAAAATATATAAGAATTTGAATTAATGAGAGAAAGAATCTGAGTAATCTATATGCCAGATCTTTACTTCAAAAAGCTACTACAGTCAATACAATCCTTGGAAGATACTGCTATTTTATTTTTTACAACACTAGAGATTTAAAATAAGGGATTCATAATGGTCCAAGAAGATTTAACCAGATCTGGGAAGATTTAACCAGATTCCTCTTCAGCAGCTGAGAGTAGACTACAGAAATGTACAGTCTTTCCAGCAAATATTATTTTCTAAAAGTCGTCTCCTCCTACAATTTAGGTAACCAAGGAAGTGAGTCCACTTAACTCATGATAGACAATGAGATATATTTCCTAATAATATATGATCCATCCAATTCCTCAAACATGAAGGAGTCTTGTTTTTGAATATTAATGAATTTAAATGTATTAGAAAAACTAGCAAAATGTTTTATAATACGATAACACTTCAAATCAAAAAATATATTTTTAATGAAACAATAGTTATTCATACATTCATAAATTTAGAAAACAAAATATTTACTGATTATTGTAGCAAGTATTTATATATATCTATAACATATATAAGCTAACTTCTTGAAATATTACATATATGATTGTGGTGGGCAGGCTAGGCAAGTCCAAAATCTGTAGGACAGGCTGTCAGGAAGAGCAGACTGAAACCTCTTGGATAGGAGCCGACATGGCAGTCTATGGGAAACTTCTGCAGTTCTACTGTTAAGGCCATTCAGCTGATTGGATCAGTGCCACCCAGATTATCCAGATAATCTCTTTTATGAAAAATCAACTGAGAATACATGTTAAGCACATCTACAAGAATACCTTCATAGTAACGTCTAGATTAGCATGTATTGAATAACTGTATTATAGCCTAGCCAAGTTGACAAACAAAACTGATCATCAGTATTGGATATATAAAAATGAATAAATATAGTCTGTGGTCTGAGGAGACTCAATTTTTATTAGAAGGAAAACATTTTTCCTTTGTACATTTAAGGGTTGGAACACACTTTAATATAAGAATTTCTAGAGTTTGCATCATTTAAATGAAGCATAAGAGAAAAATGACGTGAAAAGTCCAGCTTGCCTATTCATGATGTAAGAACCAGTGGAGATTAGAGAAAAACGCACTGAACAAAGACTTAAGAATACACAGTCCTACTTCCCTATGTGTCATTAACTCTCTGTATGATCTTGAGTATCCACTTAACCTCTGTGACCTTCAATTTATCTATTAAAACAAAAACAGTTTAACAATCAAGAGTTTCCAACAGCAATCTCAAATTCATTCTGTGGCCAGGGGGAAAATATAAACAAGTGGTGAAGACTGGGTATACGAAAATAATAGACAGCGTTACAACCAATTTTCCAAACCAGTCGTATTGGGAGATCAAGTCACCAATTTGCCATTATCTACATCTTATGTTCTCCCAACTTCTTTAATCCTATTTTATAAAATATAGATATTTAAAATTATGCTCACATTTATGAACATAAAAAATCCACATCCACACCAAACTTATAAGAGCGTGGCAGGTAGGATTGGAGAGAGCAGTATTTCTGTTTTTCTTGTTATGGTAAATACACACTCTTTTTGTAAGTGAAAAGCACAATGCGTGAGAAAAAATTATCTCATTGAATATGCTTAATAAAATTGAATTCTATGAATATAGAGTTTAAACATGATAGTTTGTTGTATTTATTATATATTACATGCCATGATGAATGTATATGTTAATGACCTAGTGCCATTTTTGGGAAAGTTAAATAAATATATTCTATTAAAGGAAATCTTCGTTGCCTTTCCTAGGTGCCCAGCTGAGGTTGAATTGACACCCCTATTTATGGGAGGCTTGGGCTGAGGCTTCTACTCACATGTGTGAGGGAAAGCCACTCTGAAACAAGAGACACACTGCTTATTAACCACAGATAGCTGGAAGTCTTCAAGCAGCAGCAAGCAGCTACAAATCTCACCTATCAACTTTATTGAAATTAAATTTTTGTGGTCTCTTCTTATACAATCCCTTTCCCAAAACCAATTTGCATAATTTGGTATAATTTGAAATGATTGACACAGGTTGCTAATTGTTGGGGTAGAAACTAGACCCTCAAAGTAGCTAAGTCTCGAGGGCAAAGGTTAGAATCCAGTAACTGGTAGTGTGGGTCGAATTGATATTCGTTTAATAATCTGTAAACTGTGCAAGAGAATGTAATTGTCCTACATTACAAGGGTAGTCCTTCCACTGCACAGTTTATTCAAATGTATAATCTAAATAATTGAGTACCTCTGCATACAATAGAGCATTTCCTCATATGCAAACACCATTTAATAGACAGTTAAATCCAAACAGATGGATAAAAGATGCCAGAACATAATTGGTTTGCTTTTGATTATTTCATTGATACCAATTTACTTAAAGAGTAAGTCTGGACAAGGTAGGATTTATTGTCACAGAATACTCAGTTTGACAGGGAGATGTTAAAAGATTCAGCAATGTACTTTCAATTTCCACTCATGAAAGCTTGGGTAAAAATGAACTTTTGACCAAATGTTTGGCTTTGTCTTTACTTGGATCTGACCACTACAAACACTTGATAAAACATAAATCGATCTTATTTTATTTAATATCTTCTTCAGGATTTCTTGGTTTCACAATAGATATCAACCTACTATAATTCTTTTGAATAGCTGGAGAACATCATTTAAAAAGAAATGAGAAGTAATCATTGATGAACAGTTTTTAAAACAGCAGCTATAATTCCAAGTCTTATATAAACTACAGTATTTTACGTAATCCTGAATGTTTTCTTTAAGTGTTCTAAATAAAATCTGAAATTTCAGGAAATATAGAAGTCGGTGAAATATGTGTGAATACACACACATACACCCACACTTGTAGGGAAGAGAATGGCATTATCTCCATTTTACACGTAAGAAAATTGGACTCAAGGAAATTGAGTACCTCAAAGCTGCAGAGGAAACAAATAGTGAAACCTGGATTGGAATTTATTTTTATTTTAACTTATTGTGAAGTTCATGTTCCTTTAAAAGCAATGCTACCAGTTCTTGTCCCCAAACGTTCTTAAAGTCTCTTGGAATACCTCTGTATCTAATAGACAAGATTTTAATTATTTTTATTTTCATTTTTGATTAGTAAATTAGCTTGATGATTAAACCTAACCATTTTTAAAATAACGTATCAATTGCTAAGACTGTGCTCTGCCCTCTTTTGTCAAATCCACTTTATCTGATTGTGATAATCCTATTTTGTAGCCATTAAGAACAGGCTTAAAAAATGAAGCCTTTAAAAACTGACAAATTATTTTTTAGATCAATTTCTTTGTTTTTAGTAGGAGTTGTATTTGAATTCAATAGTAAAAGTATATGGAGATAAACGAAACATAAGAATTAAAATAATTTTTAAGGATTTCAGAGATCTCACTTTCTCTTCCTTTCAACATAGTTTTTTCCAAGATTACATAATATAAGTACAAGTCTTCATATAAAAGTTTGCATCAAGCAAAGACTATTGGCTTTTCAAAAGCTGGAATCATTGAATCTATGGATTGCAAGCAGTCCTGACTATGGAAATTATGTGTTAAATACAACTATTACCTCTTTAAATGTGCATTTGATTGAAAAAGTTGTAAAAAAAAATTCTTCATTTGTAGTAGAAAATGTTGTCTACTTAGATGTTTTTTTAAAGACTTACTGCTTAGATTTCAAAATTTTCTTTTAAAATAAAAATCTTATTTTATAAATATATAAATAATCATGCAATATACTTGTAATATTTATATATGATAAAATTAATAGTTGTTGATTGCATGAAGTTTGAAACATACATAAAACTACAAAAAGAAAATTATTGCCATTTATATCAGAGTTATCATCATCCAGTCCTTGATTTTATTTTTAAATCTCTTTGCTTAGCAATGTTTAACGAAAATTTCATCACAATCTTAAATATTTTTCCATAGCATCTTTTCAGTGGATATATAGTATTTCCTCATTTGGCTCAAATGTAACAGGTTTAACAAATCTTTTATTTTGAGATATTTAGAGTTCTGATTTTTTATTGGTACATCATTATATCCTTCAAACTATTTTCTACAAGATAAAGTTTGAATATAGATTTTAATATTTTAAAGACATTTATTCACACTGTCAAATTATCCCTCCAAACAGATTATATGAGTTTCTACTCTCAACAGGTAGATAAAATTTCCCCAAACTCTTGCCCGCATAGACTCATATTTTTATGAAACGTCTTATTGATGACATGCTTTCCTGGTGTGTTAAAGCATTTACTCAGTAGGGTGTATAAAGGGATATGAGATACTAATTTCACCTGAAATTTGAGGTGTATATACATTTACTTAAACACTTAATATCTGTATAATTCTAAAGACTAGTTTCTGTCTTTTTGATACATAAAGAATGAAAGCATGTAAAAGCCTACTTGCTATATCTTTCTCCAACTACATCACCGTGTTTACCAGAGAAATACAAACTGCAGGAAATTGTTACTTCCCTATATTACTATGTGATGTTTAGGGTTTTATATGTATATTTAAGGGATATATAAGGATGCATGCTTCTATATGTGTAAGTCTACCAGAATCTTATAATGTGGTAATGTGTTTAAGATAAAATGAGTGAACATTTTCCTGGTGTAAAATTTTACTGTTTGAATGACCAAACACTATATTAATTGGATTTATAAACTTTTTTTGGTGTACAACTGACAATTTTCTATGATGATATTTTTTAACTTAAGGGGTTGCAGGTTTAACAAAAACAAAACTAATATTTTTTTTCCAGCTTTGTTTCTTAAGTTGCTTATGAGCAATTTGTAGGGCTTTTTTGGTGAAAATCTTCCAGGGCTTTTATTACCATTAATCTTTTGTGAGGGTGTGTATAATTCATCTAACCAGCCATCAGAATTCCCAGAGGGTAAATTACTCTAGAGATCTCTGTGCCCTCACACTGTATCAAATTGACCTGCTTCTTGTTTGCCATTTTTGTGTACTCCATTGCTTATTTAACAAGAAACAGAATGATTGTAATTCTGAGAAGGTCCTTTGATAGTAGTTTTGACACTCTGCCTGAATAATGACCCTCATTATGGTGCCTGTGACAGGCTCTGAAAGTCCTGATTTATGAATATATCACAGGTTCAGCATTAGAGCTCCCCCTACTCACTTACTTCTGATATAGACCCAGATATGGACAGAGCCCTTTGAAATATAGAGAGGCTGAGATAATTGCATGATTATGACCATTCAAATCATCTCTTTTCCTAATTTAACAAAGCTCTGCCATTTAATTTTGATTGTCTCCGAAGTTATTAGGAACCTTTGACAAAATGTTTATTAGAAGAATGTATTTCAGAGCAACTGGGCCAATGACAAAGGTGGAAGTTATTCTTACTTCTCTGTTCCTAAGCTTCAGCTAAATTTCTATTGCAAATACTCATTAAGGGTTGATGTGATAATAGACTGTTAGAAGCAAGATTAGCTAAGAGCAAAAAGTCTGTGTCCTTGATAAAACAAATTACAAGACACTCTGTAAACACTTTTTTGTGCAGAATGTTGTTGATTTATTGTTTCCTCTATAGTGATTATTTAAATAAATGTAGCTAATTTAGTTCATTTGCCAAACTGTATAATTTTGTTCTTTGTGAAGGGGTTATATGTAAAAGCCTCGAGGAATCACATCCCCATTAATCTTTTTACAAGTGCAATAAATAAATAAAGAGACATGGTTTAATTTTGCCAGTTAGAAGATATTTAAATAGCAGCTGTGGTAAACTGATTTCTTTTTCTACTGTTTGAAAAAGCCATGTAAATGCACTTTTTCTTGTTACTAGTTTAATGATACACAAGAAAACCATTGCACAACTGTTTTATTGAGGCTATGAGAAACAAAGGTTTTTCCATCATCTACTCTTCGGTACCATGACCTTTTAAAAAACTATTGCTCATCTCATGCTTTTCTGCTTATATTTAAAAGTATATAAAATATTATATTTTGCAAATATAACATTTGCCAAATATTATAAGAACATTTTAATTTATTTCAGAAAAAAAGATGAAATATGGTACTATTCAATATAAAAAATAAATTCATTAATGTTTTCCTGAATATCCTTTACTTGCCAAAAGTAAGGATCTGCAAGCACCTTATGGTTTTATTATAAGTAGGAAAACTGAAGGTCTGTCTAGGTGTTCTCAGCTGACTCATTTTGAGAGTATCATCAGATGACCCTTGATATTAAAAATACATAGTTACTAAGGGCAGTGGCTGAACGTTAATTTTAAATGAAGTCTGATAATGACCTGGAGTAAATTTATTAAGGGTCCTCCATTTTATAGCAAAAGCAGTCACTTAAAACATAATAAGATGATTCTGAAATCTTTAAACAAAATGATCAGATTGAATTCCTTTTAGCAAGCTGAGAATTTTCAAAAGCTTTTTTTATTTCACATCCACAAAGCCTTTATTCTTGATTCATTAACATATTTTTAGAAAGTCTGTTTCTAGAGGGGAAAATGTTTGCCACCCCTGCAGTGTAGGTATCACTAATGGAATGGATCTTTGGGAAGTTTCCATCATCGATTTTGTATACATATTTTATAAAAATTCTGAAGCTGATTTCTTCTTCCTTTGCTTCCCTTCTTGAATAGGCCTTATATAGTAGTATACTGTGATTTTACAAAACTATTTTAGAGCATAACAAAACCTTCTGGACCTTAATAACTATACATGACTGATCTGTCCTCTCTAGCAAGGTTAACTGTTTCTCCCGAGGAGTTAAGTGGCATATAAACTATTGTTCACACCATTTGTGCTAACAGTATAGGATGACCTCAAATACTGTAGTGGCCATGCGAGGTACCTGCACAATGCATTTATCAACAAAGGGAAAAGGACCACAGGGGCAGATCTGACTTTAAGTGTATTAGGACTCTATTAGGATAAATGCCTAACCTCACTCCACAGCAAAAAGTAATTACAGAGTCATTGTTTCTATAGTGTTAATATTTTTTATGGTTCTTTAGAAATATGTGCTATTTAGTTCTTGAGTTGACATCTGTACTGTATTATATTTTATACAAAGCACCCAGACTAGACTGTAGAGCAATCAAATAGCTCTAAGATCATTTTGCTCTTACAGGAAATCAACAACAGATATAAAATATAGATAAAGGAATAGTTTAAATTCAGTAGTTAATTTTTGTACTTAAATTATCTAATTAACAATAGTCTGAACAGCCAGATTTTAGAACTTTATTCTTTCAAAAATTGCATGCTCCATTTAGAGTGTATCGTTGTTTCTTATGTATTCACAGATTCTTCTATTTGTGTGTATTTTTATAATGCATCAATTCTGTTTCTATGGATGCCTTCTTTCCTACTCTTAAATATTCTCACCTTATTCTGGACATGCATTTTTGTGTGTTTTATGAGAAAGACAGAGGTACTAAAACACTTATGTTTACACACACACACACTCCTCATTAAAAAGTTAAAACAAATGTTAATGTCCCCTCCGGTGAATACCATTGAGTAACACAAAAATGGAAAAATACATATTTGCATGTTCAGAGCAGGAGTGATGTTTAATTTCACAGCCCCAAATTATTAGCAATTGTCAAAAGAATATGAAAGTTGGCTCTTTAAATCAAGCCTGTATCTTCCCCTCAAAGGAATCAGATGCATACATACAGTCTTTATTTCACCCAGATGAAGAAACAGGAACATAACTCAGTAGTTCTGTAAGAAATATGAGTGCAATTCATGGACCCATATCTGCTTATTAGGGGCCCTAGAAATTTTCAATGTGATAATTCATGATAATTTTATCTACACGTTAGAGTTTTCTGACAGCAAAATATACAGTTTGTGTTATATTAAACACTATTGATCACTTTACTCAAACATAATACTCCAGTAAGAGCAGGATGTAGGATGTTAAAAAGTAAATTTGTATCATATAAATGTCATCACAAGGATTTGCTGGCAACTTGTTGGGATGAGAATCAAATGATAGAGCTGTGCTGTGTCTTGGTAGATTATTTTAAAAATAGTATTATTATAAAATGCATAGAAATTTGGAAAAGGAGGATATGCAGAAAAGCTACAAAATGAAGCAGAATATATTCTTCCAGGATGTTTAAATTAATTGTAGTTTCTGAATTATTTGGAGACATTTTTGCTGTGTTTCTGCCCCCTCGTACTTATAAAGTCC
Organism: Homo sapiens; assembly: GCF_000001405.40. NCBI lineage: Eukaryota > Metazoa > Chordata > Mammalia > Primates > Hominidae > Homo > Homo sapiens. Next base: position 115,390,448 of record NC_000007.14, read on the forward strand.
TTGAAAGCTTTGCAGTCTTTTGAATGGATTAGATAGATATATAACTGTTAAGATATGATGAACTCCCAACAGTAGCTTTTTACAAAATAAGCCTCCTTCAACTTTTCTTAGAAGCTCTAAGTCCCTCTTTCATTCAATGCAATTTAACTCATTTGAATATTTTATTAGTTGCTTTCTGTATGTCAGCATGGTGTTAAACCATGAGGTTATATATAAACACACATACTAGCTTCTGCTTTCAAGAAGCTCACAGTCTGAAGGGGAAATAGACTTTCCGATAAATAATTATGATATGGTATGAAAACTAGTAACATAATTGCAAATATAAGATACAGAAATAGCACTGAGAATGTATCGATAAATCTTATTAATCTATATATTAAAAATTCTCTACATGAAGTGTGCAGGAACAATGCTATAGAAAAGTAATCATCTGATGTGGGTTTTGAAGACTACATAAGAGTTTGCCATATCACCACATAAGATGAAGAGGGCATTTCAGACAGAGAGAGCAGCACCCACAAAGATGCAGGAGCATGGAATAGCATGCTCTATTTGGGGAACTGCAGATAATTTAGAATCTATGGAATAAAATTGCTAAGGGTAGAGAGAGTGAAGAAACGAGGCTAAGAATAAATACCAGAACCATCTCATGAAGAGTACCTTTTGTCAAGCTAAAGAGCTTACACCTTATCGTGTAATTCATAACCATTGAAAAACTGGAGTGACATGTTTAAATTTGTGTTATTAAGAATGAAAGGGAAAAATAAAATGGAGAAGGAAAAAACTAGAAGCAAGGAAACCAGAGAGGAGACAGTTGCAGGTCCAGGAAAGAAATAGTAAAGGCCTGAACCAGTCCCCAGAGAATAGAGATTAGAAAGATGTCTAAGGAGAATGAAAATACACAATGTGACTCCAAACTCATGACACTGCCTTTCTTCTCTGCTGTATTCCTTCTATTCCTAATTTTTTCAAACTATAGATCTGACATTGATGGGACACAGTTGAAGTATTTTAAGATCAGCATGGGGTGATCAGATCTGCATCTTAGTAAAGTCAAATGAGAGAATGTGGCAGGAAATGAAGAGATCTTGTCACTTGTCTCCTGGTACTTTCTCCTAGGTACCCTACATTTCATTTCAGCCATATTGGCCTACTCTCTCATGGCTGTACAGTTTGAACTACCTGTCTTCCTACCTTTGAAAGGTCTTCCCTTTCTTTACTGCTTGGCATTCTTCTTATCCTCAGAGCCTTGCTTCAAGCATCATCTTCTCTATGAAGGCTTCCTTGAGGCCCCTGATATGTCTTCAGGCATAACTGGACCCCCGCCTCCTTCTCCCAATTTTTAAATGTTCTTTACTTAATGCATGCCTCTATTGGAGTGTATAAACACGAAGCATTGCAATTGCCCCATATATGGCTAACAGATACATAGTAGATAAATAATTAAATTAATAGTAGCAGTATTGCAATTGTAGCATTGCAATTGCCCCATATATGGCTAACAGATACATAGTAGATGATTAATTGAATGATTGAAGCAGAGTAGTCACAGATTTAGAGCCATAGATAAATTGGTTATCATGTTTCTTCTTCATTATGGCCTTTTATTAGGTCCTAGACTCCTACTTCTCTTCTTCAGCATCAACTCTATACTGTTTAAAGATAGGTCGTGCAAAATTAGTCTCAAGAAATAGTTGAGTAACTTGGAAGTCACTAAGGAAGGTCTTCAGGGAGAACCTGGATGGTTGGTTTGTCATGGTGACAAGGAAGGAAAAAGGTTGATAGAGTAAGTTGTGAATGTCAAAGGAGTGAGGAGTAGGAGTCCACAGTGACTGAACAATTATTTTCAAACCACTGTGGTGGCCAATGACAATGACAGTTCCTTTCTTTACTCAAGACACTAGAAGACCAGGAAAAAATACTACCAATGAAGACAAGTTGTAAAGATTATGATGATTTCTGGGGGAAACCATGTTTCTGATTATGGAGAAAGTGAAAATTTAAACAAATTGATAATGTGAAAAGATTTTGAGCACGAAAGTATGGTTTACTGGAGACAAAGAAAAGCTTATGAGAGAGTGAGGGTAAGAGACTCTAGTGAGAGATAAGTTGAAAATGGACAAGTGTGGAAATATGGGCCGGGCAGTGGTGCCTCACATCAGCACTTTGGGAGATTGATGTGGATCACCTGAGGTCAGAAGCCTGGCCAACATGGTGAAACCTCATCTCTACTAAAAATACAAAAACCAACCTGGTGTGGTGATGCATGTCTGTAATCCCAGCTACTCAGGACCTGAGGCAGGAGAATTGCCTCAACGCAGGGGGCAGAGGTTGCAGTGAGCTGAGATTGTGCCACTGCACTCCAGCCTGGGCAACAGAGTGAGGCTTCGTCTCAAAAAAAAAAAAAAAAAAAAAAAAAAGAAGAAGAAGAAGAAGGAGTGGAAACATGAAACTCTACAGGTGACTTAAGGTGTGGCAAATATACTCTTGGGATAGAAGAACATGGAGATTGGGAGGTAGTCCAATCGGTCTTGTATTTAATGGAAGAAATCAGAAATTCTATAATTGAAAGAAGACATAGAACTAACCAACTCCCAGGTTCAAATTGATATTAAGACTGCTAAAATTTACAGCACTGATAGATACTATGCTTTGATTACAGAGCTAAGATGTTTCTGAAATGCAGATTGGACAGGACAGGATGTGTGGAGAACAAAATGAAAGGAAATGGTTTAATTGAATCTGAAAAATACTTTTCAATTTATAATAATTAACAGATAACTAAAGAACACTCACGTAGGAGTTTAGTTGACAAAAATTTACCTAAATTTTAACTAAAAACATATTGCAAATAGAAATACAATTTTATTTCCCCTCTGTAATTACTATACCTTATGTTTTTAGATCATAAAACATATGATCTGAATTTTGTACCAGAATTTTGTGTCAGTTGTAGGAAAATTGAAAATCACCTCATAGCAATTTCTCCTCTTACCAATGCCATCGATGGAGTGCTTCCGTGACTCATCATTTCACATTCTCACTTTTCATTTATGTTAAAAGAAAATTAACCTTCATTTTCTAGAAGAGTCTTGGTGGCCAGAATCATGAGCTAAACATGGAATTTATTTTCTACCATCAGGAAGCGAGTTTGCTGTTCCTGTTATTATCTGGACCTTGGATAACTGCTCTGTAACTTTGCTGGTGGCGGTGGAACTGCCCCTAGGGCTGCTGTAGGGTCAGCCCGCTGATGGCCTGTCTTTTTCTCCCAGGTGTTATTGATGAAGAATAATCCTCAATTCAGTGTGATTAAAGAGCCAGAGCTGAGATTGCTGCATTTTCCCACTTCATTTCTGGAACCCCCATACACTGTGTTAGAAAGAAAAAAAAATCTCACAATGATCATTTTAAAAAGGGGGAAATGTTTTGAATGCATTTTTCCTTTTTCCTTAACAATAGAATATAAACGTATTTTTAAAGATTCTTTAGAAATGATGTAGGTTGCACAATGCAATATATTATTTTTCTATTCTTTCTTGGTCTAACTTTTTCCCATATACACATTATTGTTATTGACAGCAGTTCTAAAGCCTTTAAAAGAAAAAGAAATTAAACAATGAATCAATAAAGATTAGTTATTTTCTCCAGATTACTAGCTTATCATTCCCATAATTACAATAATGGTTGCTGATGGAAATTCTATTTATGTGAATCATTTTATTCTTGTTATTTACTATTATTAATGTTACCATTATTATCTTCTTACCCTTCAGTTCACAAGATGTATCTTCTCAGTGAATTTTAATTCCAGTATCTTGCTATTATACTGTACATAATCCTATCAAAGACTGTCCTTCATGCAACATTTTCAGTGATATATTATCATAGAGACTGTTAATGAATGAGCTTCATATCTTACTAATACTGTTTTAGATACTATTTTTATTAATTTCCCAAGCTGTAATTCTTCGTATGCTACCTGTGTCTGTCTTCTATTAAAGTTGTGTTTTCAATTTTTACATGAGGATTTCAAAGGAAAGCATTAACTTTGTGTCTTTAAAAATACATTTTATTTCACAGATTCTCAGTGATTACATTATCATAATGCCCATGCTTTGTTCTCTTATACTTGTAACAAGTTAATTTTCACAATTTTCCTTTACTTTGGATTCCAATTTTATGTTAACAATCAAAATTAAAACAGTAACACTATGATCTTTCCGACATGCAACTGGGATAAGAAATAACTTGAAAAACAAACCAATTGCACTTTGTCCTTTGACTAAGATCCAGACACTATAGTCAAATAAAGAAAATAATTATGTCGACTTTTGTACATACTATCTCTAAGCATTATTACTTGAAAGTAAATACAGTCATCATACAGAAGGTACTGTGCTCTTCGGAAATAATTTATTTCATTGAAATGCCTTATTTATTTTATTTTAAAGGGATTAAGAAAGTGAGCAACAAGAAAGCCATTTATTTATCTTTGTTATAGTCTTTCTTTCACTGCCATATGATTCAGACTGCAAGTTGTTCCTACACAAAATAATTCTTGCTGAAATTTTTGTTATTTTTTTCTCTTTCCCTCGCACTGGGAATTTTGTAGAATGGTATGGATTTCTTTTCATGTGTTCCTACAGGAAAGGTCAAACAGAGAGAATGTAGATTAAATAAGCTTAGACTGTAGCTACATTCCTTTGTAATTACATTAAAACATTCTGACAGTATAAAATAAGTGGCCAATATTAAAATGTCCTTAAAACTACACTATGTACAGAACATGTAAATAAGCTTAGATCCCTTTGAAGGAAGATTAAATATACATGTGATATTCTGTAGCTTAGATTAATAGCTAGAGAGAAATGCATTATTATGATAATATAAACTTATAATGTATTTAGCATATAGCTATAGCTTTCTTCATAAACAAAACACACCCCTATTACTAGTTTGTATTGATATGCCTCATTAATCTTTTCAATACATCTATTTGTTTTTCCATACATCTCCACATTTACACACACATGTAAAATGAACATATACTAAGCTTGCTGGACTAGTAGCAATTAGGAAGAATAAGAGCTGGTTGGAGAAAGACAAAAGAAAAAGAAAGAAAGATAAAAGATAAAGAGAAGTCAGGAAGAAAGGAAGGAAGGAGGGAAGGAAGGAAGAAAGGAAGGAAGATTTTATTAAATCTAAACGCTGTAAAATCAACCCTGGTCTGCTTGTCTTCAAGGAAAACCAAAGTACTAGAAAAATTACAATGATAAGACTGTGCCCCTCATATACACAACACCCTTAACACAATCTTTTGTCCAAGATGTTGGTTTTGATATTGTGTCAGTGGATTTAGAAATATTTAACATCTCCACTTCTACAAATGTAGTGATGCTAGGAAAAAGACAGCTAACATTTAGTAATGTATGTGATATTCCAGGTACTATTTTGATCATTTTGCAGGTATTATAATTTCATTTAATCTTCAAAACCACCTCACATGCTAAGTACTTTTATTACTTTGCAAAAGGTCACACAGTTATTGTGTTTGAGAGTTTGATAGTGACGATTCGGCCCAAGAGTCAAACTGAGCCACAATAGTAAACTGATCTCTTATATTATGTCCCAAAACTGGTAGAGGCAAATTCTGTCCCAAGGTCTGTTTTTTTGTTTGTTTGTTTTTGTTTTTTAATAAATCTCCTCTGTGTGTCAACAGAAAAAAAAAGCCAAAACATAAATCTCTTTAAGCTATGCAACACGTTTTTGCAATCTGAATTCAAATTTTAGGGGTTCGAAGCTCCATTTGCCATAAGACAAATTCTCAGCTTTACTGAAAAGTTGGTGATTCAAATGTGGTTGTTTTTCATACTCTTTTTTGAAGGCTCATATAGACTTTTATAACTTTTCTAAAGCATGAAAACAAATTTGCTAATATATTATAAAGCTACACAATAACTTCTAGCCATATCAAATATAAGATTATTAAAACATAAAGAACATAAATGTTTCATCCTTGGCAAATGATGTTTAGAAAATATGTTGGCAGTATTTTTACTAATTATAGCTATATCATAAACAGGGTAGATTTATATTTTGCATTCATCAACAGTGATAATGTGTTATAGAGTACAGTTTATTGGGATATCTCATATTTCTTAATTTTTTGAGATGGAGTCTCGCTCTGTCACCCAGGCTGGAGTGCAGTGGCGCGATCTCGGCTCACTGCAACCCCTGCCTCCTGGGTTCAAGCGATTCTCCTGCCTCAGCCTCCCGAGTAGCTGGGATTACAAGCGACAACCACCATGCCCAGCTTTTTTTTTTTTTTTTTTTTTTTTTTTTTTTTTTTTTTTTTTTTTTTTTTTGTATTTTTAGTAGATATGGGGTTTCACCATGTTGGCCAGGCTGGTCTCGAACTCCTGACCTCCGGTGATCCACCTGCCTCGGCCTTCCAAAGTGCTGGGATTACAGGCATGAGCCACCGTGCCCGGCCATTTTTTTTGTTTTAATTTAAATAGCTTCTGAGGGTAAAAGTAGTTTTTGATTACATGGATGAATTGTATAGTGGTGAAGTCTGAGATTTTAGTTCACTCCTCACCCAAATAGGGTAGAGTGTATCCAATATGCAATTTTTCTTTTTTATCAGTCACTCCCTTCCACCCTCCCCTTCTGGGTCTCCAAATTCCATTACATCACTCTATATGCCTTTGTGTACCCGTATCTTGTCTTTCAAGTCTCAAAGACAGTACCTGGAAATGGGTAGTCAATCTACAAATGTTTCTTATATAAACCAGTTAGAACTGTAATGGTAATGGGACGATGAATTCGATTAAAAAATATTTCATTTTTAACACATATTGTCAACATTGATAAAAATGTCATCAATAACAGAAATTTATTTTTTTTAATTCAGGGAAACTTCCTCTGTATCAGAATCTTGGCATAAAATAAAATTATGATATATGATAGACTAAAATGGGCAATAGGAGAAGAGCTTGATAAAGAGATTATTTACAACAGTGTGATCAGGGTTTAGGAAAAACAAGAGCTATTGCAGTACCTACCTTGGGCTAGTAACCTCAGGATCCCTTATCAATTACAGGATTTTAAGGAAAAGATAAATGAAAAGCTCCTGAGCCTCGAGTGACTGCTTCATCAAGAGTTATCTAAGAGGAGTGAGGACACTTGGTGAAGGGACACAGCCAGCCACAGCCATCACTGGGGAGACAGTTGGGGGGAAGTATCCCAACCTCAATCTCCTTTTTCTCCAATCTCCAGTCCATGCTTTGCATTGGCTGAACAGAAGTAAAAGCTGGAGGATAAGAGAGCTTACTCAACAGTACATACTCAGCATACTCTATAACTAGCAAGACAGAGTTAGAGAGGTGGGAAGGAAGACCCAGGGAGGCAAACAACAGAACACGCAGAATCCAGATTTCATTTTCCACATTTCCTGTCCTTTTTCATCTTTAGATTTGGAGTATTTTGCAATGATAAATAGTACAATAACAAAAAGCACATTTCCTGTGCTTGGATTATTACTTGAAATTAAATGTTGCTCTTGAGGCTAGTGAATGAGTGTAAGATAACCAATATGCTGGCTTTTACTCCATATCACTAAATCGTTTTCTAAGAGTTTAACCAATATTTCCTGCCACCTATAATAAATAACCATGCCCATTTATTATTTTTGTCAGTATTATTACTTACATTTTTTTCATTTAATAATCCATTTGCCTGTTTGCTCTGTTCTTACAACCTCTGTGAATTTACAAACTCCTGAACTTTGTTCCTTATCAATAACAGAGCAATGCCATAATACTCATCTTCAATAAATCCAGCAAATGCAATAACTGAAAATAACCAAAGAAAATGGTGCCTAATTTTTTATGTAATTTAGCAACAGAAATATATTAATCTAGCACTGGTAGTTATGTTAACCTCTTACATGGATTATCTCATTTATATTTATTGTTTTTGTTATTGAGAATTTTCTCTTCATGTTACTTGTCCATTTATAATTGAAAGACAATTATTCTCTTACTAATTTGTATAATCTGCTTATATACAAAGATAATTACAGTTCAACTGTTTTATAGTTACCGAAAATATGACCTAATGCATCTCTCCCAATTTATTAACTGACCATTTAAATTTAAATATAGGAAGAGGTGTCATATATATATATATATATATATATATATATATGTATATATGTATATATATATTTATGTATATATGTATATATATTTATGTATATATATGTGTATATATATTTATGTATATATATGTATATGTATATATATAGCTTTTCAAAACATAGAATGTAAATTATTAGATGCTACATTTGTTGAACTTCAAGAGGGTCAAATTTAATAGCATGTCCTCTAAAATGCTTCCTCTCTCCTTGATAGATGAATGTGTTTGAATCCCCTTTAAACTCTTCCATCACTTTAATTTTATCTCTTCTATGATCTTCATGTATTTTATAGAATTTTAATTCTTTTTCTTTGTATATAATTGATACTATGTAATTAATAAATTCCCAAAAGACAGTGGAAATTTTTGTGTTTTTCTTTTCTCATTCTACATAAAACAGCATTTTGAGGTAGGCATTAAATCATCTACATTTTGAATAAATGTTCTTATTCAGAAAATTCTATAGATTCATGCTTCAACTTCTTAAAATAATATAAAGCACAACATGTGTGATAAAACCTCTTTCTACTCCTGAAGGTACACTTATTTATCTACTCCAAGTCTCAATTATTCATTTGGAAACTACTAAAAATAGCTTATGTGGTTGTTATTTGATAGAAAGCTAATGCGAACAGAATAAATTTAAGGTTTTTTTGCTAAATATCTTGAGTATTGAGGTGACAACAAATAAATACAGTATCATTTAAAATGTTTTAAATGTTCCAATCATGATTACCTTGAAATAAAATAAAATAATAGCCACCAATTATTATGTACACTCTGTGTGCCAGACCCAGAGCCAGGTGATCTAAAATATCTATTCATACCAATAAGAAACTGTTCAGACCTAAGCAGAATTCAGGGACAGGCAGTACAAAGAAGAGGGATTTTTCAAAGAATGAAGTCAATATATTTAGATAACAGGGAAGAGAGCAACAGTAATAGCACAAAGTTCAGACAAGATGACTAACACTTTTTCAAAAAAAACTTAGGTTAGTTCAAAAATAATTGCTTTTGCCATTGAAAGTAAGGGCAAAAATTGCAATTACTTTTGCACCAAACTAATAGGTGTAAATTTCATGGGGGGAATATTATCAAATTAATGTTTCTCTAAATTTCACAATTTTTCTGCTTGAAGTAGAATTAAATAAATAACATATAATTAAATATTAATCATAAACTGATGGAAAAATTATGTTGTAGAATTACAATGCAGGAGGCAATAGAGCTATCAAAATGATTTTCTTCATTATATATATTATATATCTGTTATATATAATAGAAATGTATATATGTGTGTGTGTATACGTGTATATATATATATATATATCAGAGAAATGCCATAATACTTGTCTTCAATAAACCCAGCAAATTCAAGAACTGAAAATAACCAAAGAAAATAGTGCCTCATTTTTGATGTAATTTGGCAATTGAAATATATTGATCTAGCACAGGCAGTTATATTAACCTCTTACATGAAATATATATATAAATATAATCTGTTATATCTTAAAATGATCTGATATTTATGTATATGTATATATATAACAGATATTTCAAATTAACATAAACTTAAATGATCCAGAAAAAGTCACTTATTATAATAATACATTCAGAAAGCTGAACTGTTGACAATTTTCAGTATAAAATGCCTACCATAAATACGTTTTTTTTTCTCAGCTTACCCGTGGCATTTAGAGTGCTGTTGTTAAGTTTTTCTAACTGGTTGTTTTGTTTAAGAAATCAGAAAGGCTGCTTTAGGCTAACTGGAGGTTATATGTTCACAATAAATCTAGACATGAAAATCAATAGAAACATTTAAACCTGTGATGTTGCAGAAGTGCCTCTCAAAAAAGATCAAATGCTAAGAACTGAATCTCATATCCACGATTGCACATTATCACCACAAGTGAAGGCTTGTTGACACTATTCTGTTTCTATTTCAAGGCAGCTGCAATACAGTTTGGAAAACATGACTCTATTTAAAGGATCTTCAGGCATATTAGTGAGGTCTTAAAGACTGTGTGAGAAGCATCAGCGCTCCAGGGACAGGCTTCCTTATTCACTGAGGACATCATCACCAGGGTTAGTCCTTGAACCCACAGCACATGCAGAGAGAAGTAGCAGTAAAGAAGGTGTAGTGACAGAAAGATGCACTTTTCATGTTAGGTAGGAAGCGAGGCATCCTAACAGAAGGGATGGAGTAGGAATATACAGATGTGATCAATGAGAAAAAAGGGAGAAATCCATGGATTTATTAGAGAGATGAATGTGTGTTTTGCAAAAACTGTTCTCCATTCTCTCAGTTGTCTCTTGTCCTGTGATAATATTCATGTCTTTGAAAGTTCTACACCCATCTGGATAGTCCTGTCTGTTTCTAGCAGATTCATATTGCTGTAATATTTCCATTTCCTTTCAGTGAGTTTTTCTTTTGCCTGTCCCCACTACATTTCATGTTTATTTTCAGTTTTCCCGGATCTTACAGAACACTCCAAATAGTAACAGTAGTCATATCAACTCTCTAGAGTTACTGAACTTTATCCCAAAGGAATCTGTCTTTGAGAAATCTGTGTCTTTGGGAAATTGTGAGGTTGTAAACTACGTTTTACTCCTATGAGAAATAATAAGACTTCATGCTCTGTAAACTACAGTTATATACAAATGTGTACATATTCACATTCACACGTACATTTCAATGGAAAGCAATTCATGGTGCTAGCCATTCTTATTGAAAGGTGATTCGGGTAAGGATAGCAGAAAACAAAACTTAGTGTGTAACGATGTACCGTTCGTGGGAGTGTAAATTAGTTCACCCATTGTGGAAGACGGTGTGGCGATTCATGAAAGATCTAGATCTAGAAATACCATTTGACCCAGCAATCCCATTACTGGGTATATACCCAAAGGATTATAAATCATTCTACTATAAAGACACATGCACACGTATGTTTATTCCAGCACTATTTACAATAGCAAAGACTTGGAACCAACCCAAATGTCCATCAATGATAGACTGGATAAAGAAAATGTGGCACATATACAGCATGGAATACTATGCAGCCATAAAAAAAGATGAGTTCATGTCCTTTTCAGGGACATGGATAGAGCTGGAAACCATCATTCTCAGCAAAGTAACACAGGAACAGAAAACCAACCACTGCATGTTCTCACTCATAAGTGGGAGTTGAACAATGAGAACACATGGACACAGGGAGGGGAACGTCATACACCAGGGCCTGTCAGGGGCTGGGGGGAAGGGATAGCATTAGGAGAAATACCTAATGTAGGTGAGGGGTTGATGGGTGCAGCAAACCACCATGACACATGAATACCTATGTAACAAACCTGCACATTCTGCACATGTATCCCAGAACTTAGGTGAAATAAATAAATAAATAAATATGTACTTAATGTAAGAGTTGTGAGGGATTTTTGTGTGTGTAAAATGCAAAAATTTAGGATAATGTAAAAATTATGAAATAATACAAGAAAATCAGAAATAACATTAAAAAGAAAAAATTCAATATTTTCAATGGGTGGTAACTTTTTATACCATATAGATCATTTCTTTCTCTTAAGAAGATTTAGCATTCTTAGTTATATTTTTCAGAAGATAAAAATGAATTTCAGATATATTGATAAGCTGTGTACTATGTTACACAGTCCATCAAAATAATAATATTTTAATCAGTTATAGCCAATAAATTAAAATATTTATCAGTCTTGGACTACAGTTTTTTTCATAACAAATTTTATCAGATTCAGGAAGAGTTTTAGAAGTTGTTATATCATTGGAATGACATTGAAGATTTTACATGAAGATAAACAAGCAGACCATTCAAAAATATGTAACTTAAAGGTTTCTTTATGTACTAAAGTTGAAATTTGTACAAATACTAGTATAAAAGCTTGAAAATATTTTATAGATTCACAGAGTAACTAATGATTTGTTTTTATAAAAAATGGAGGAAGCACTTGCCAGAACAATCAGGCAAAGGAAAGAAATAAAAGGTATCCAAATAGGAAATTAAGAAGCCAAACTATCTCTCTTTGCTGGTGATCTGATTCTATACCTTGAAAGCACTAAAGACTCCACCGAAAGGCTACTAGAACTGATAAATTATTTTAGTAAGATTTCAGAGTACAAAATCAGCATACAGAAATCAGTAGCATTTTTATACACCAGTAATGTCTAGGCTGAAAGACAAATCAAGAACACAATCCAATTTACAACAGCCACAAAGAAAATAAAACACCTAGGAATATAACTAATCAAGGAGGTGAAAGATCTCTACAAGGAGAACTACAAAACACTGCTGAAAGAAATGAGAGATGGCACAACTAAATGGAAAATCATTCCATACTCATGGATTGGAATAATCAATATCATTAACATGGCTATACTACTCAAAGCAATTTGCAGATTCAACACTATTCCTATCAAATTACCAACATAATTATTTAAAGAATTAGGAAAAACTATTCTAAAATCCATGTGGAACCAAAAACCAAAAAAGAGACTGAATACCCAAGGCAATCCTAAGCAAAAAAAACAAAGCCAGAGGCATCACATTACCTGACTTCAAACTATGCTATAAGGCTACAGTACCCAAAATATCATGGTACTGGTACAAAAACAGACACACAGATCCATGGAACAGAATGGAGAACCCAGAAATAAAGCTCCACACCTACAGCCATCTGATCTTCAGCAAAGTCAACAAAAATAAGCAATGGGGAAAGGACTCCCTATTCAATAAATGGTGCTGGATTAATTGGTTACCCGTGTACATGAGAATAAAACTGGACTCCTACCTTTCACCATGTACAAAAATTAGCTAAAGATGGATTAAAGATTTATAAAACCTCAAGTTATAAGAATCCTGGAAGATAACCTAGCAAATACCTTTCTTGATATATCAGCCTTGGCAAGTAAATTTTGGCTAAGTCTACAAGACAAGAGTAATTTCAACAAAAACAAAAATTTACAAGTGGGACCCAATTAAACTAAGGAGCTTCTGCACAGCAAAAGAAGCTATCAATAAACAGATAATCTAGAGAATGGGAGAAAATATTCACAAACTAAGCATCTGACAAAGGTCTAATGCCCAGAATCTATAAGAAACTTAAAAAAAAAAAAAAAGCAAAAGACAACCCTATCAAAAAATGGACAATGGACATGAACAGACACTTCTCAAAAGAAGACATACAGGTGACCCACAAATATTAAGAAATGCTTATCATCACTAATCATCAGAGAAATGTGAATAGAAAGCAAAATAAAATACCGTCTCACACCAGTCAGAATAGCTGTTATTAAAAAGTCAAAAACACAAGAGATGCTGGCAAGGCTGTGGAGAAGTGGAAGGCTGTGGAGAAGTGGGAATGCTTATACACTATTGGTGAGAATGTAAAGGAGTTCAGCCACTGTGGAAAGCAGTTTGGAGTTCTCTCAAAGAACTTAAAACAGAGCTACCATTTGAACCAGCAATCCCATTACCAGGTATATAACCAAAGGAAAATAGATCATTATACCAAAAAGACACATGTTCATAGCCAACACTATTCATAATAGCAAAGACGTGGACACAGCCTAGGTGCCCATCAATGGTGGACTGGATAAAGATAATGTGGTACATATATATCAGGTAATACTATGAATCCATAAAAAGAATGAAATCATGTCCTTCACAGCAATATGGTTGGAACTGGAGGCCATTAAGGCCATAATCATAAGTGAATTAACAAAATAACAGAAAATCAAATACCATATGGTCACACTTATAAGTAGGAGCTAAACACTGAGCACCTATGGATGTAAATATGGCAACAATAGACACGGGATTACTAGAAGGGGAGGGGAGGCTGGGATGAAAAATTACCTGCTGGTTACTGTACTCACTAGCTGGGTACAACATACCCATGTAACAAAACTACACATACAGCCCTTGTATCTAAAATAAGAGTTGAAATTGTTTTAAAAAACATGGACACCTAAGTATAAGGTTAAAGTCAGCCATTCATTTTACTTACAACATTATTTTGCATGTATTAGAGAAAACTTAGAGAGACACACAATCAACAATTTATAAAATTGTGTGAAGGCAAACCTTCTATACAGTTGAACAATCTAAAGTGTTTTCATTACTTTGAAGTGATGACAACAACAAAAATATTTCACACTGACCATTTCATTGGTTAAAATCACAAATCAGAAAACATCACAGGAAATTTATTTTTGAAAATTGACACAATTTTAAAAAATAAAGTAAAATTTGTTTTACCAAATTTATTAGGTTTGATGAAAAGAAATTGCAAAAACCGCAAACACTTTTGCAACAACCTAAAATTAAAATATTTTCTATTTGTATGTATTATCATTTTCTTTTTCAATAAGATAGGAGAAATTAAAGAACATAAGTTCAATAACATGAAAAGAGATTCAATAACTATTTGCTGAATTGAATTTAATTGAGGATTATTTTATCCCTTGTGGACAAATCCTTGTAGTTTTCTTCAGAACAGAGTTTTTAAGTTAAATGAGCTGGGGTGGGAGCAGGGCAGATAAAATTAAATAAATAGTTATATTTTAGTATTTTAATTATTATTTAAGTACCTTTTAATTTTTTTTTTTTACCAATGCTTAAGAGATTCACAATATGGCTGCCACCTGTCACTGGATAATTATTGGAAGCCAAACAATTTCACATAGTAAAACATCATGATTCTGATTGGTTCCGATTTTTGCAATAAGAATATTAAATTGTTTTCTAATCCTACCTAATTAGTATTTTGCCATTCATTACCATAATATTGAAAGATGTATTCTTATAAATCTCTTGGTTACCTATAAAGCAAAAGTTCTAGCTAAGCGGTAGTTAACCTAAGTAATTAAAGTATCCATCTTCTTTCTATTTTGGACAAGAAAACAACAGCTAAGCCTTCAAGACAGAAAACTAACTCAGCAGTTTCTTCACTGGCCCAAGTTTAATACAGTGTGAAAATGGCATTTTATATTGTGGCTAAACTCCTGCTTTTTTACTGATGACTTCATGATTCTTTTTCAAAATTGTGAGGCTAAAACCATTTTAAAAAATCATAGATTTTGACTGGACCAAAATATAACATTCTGAAGCTGGAGAAGCTTAAGGAATCTCATGGTTAAATTTTAGTTCTGCACGTTTATAAAGATACAAGCTAGGTGGAGTAAATACTAGCGTACTCCTCCTCTAAATTCAAGACCCATGCTTTTTCCAGAACGCCATATAACCCACCTAACTAACAGGAAGTAAGGATGAGGATGCAAAAGATGTTAAAAGACTGAGAGCAGGATTTATGGGAAGCTAGTCTGGGTGCCCAATTGGTCATTAAAATTCAAAGTTGAGTAAATTTTGCATGATTTAGGATCATGGCAAAAAAAGAAAAAAATATTATTGTGTTATCACAATTTCATCTCCCATTTTCCTTTTGGTTTCATTGTTAAATAAATATAAAATAAGTAAACACATGTAAAAATAAATAAACATTGGCCAGTTGAAAAAACTCGAAAACATGACATTTTCAAAGGTGAATTCATAGAAACTGGAAATTAATGGTGAGCTATTCACTTATTCATCCCTAAGGGACTGAGGAAAATAGGTTCAGTTTTCTTTTATATAATATAAATAACATTGGAGTAAGATTGCACCTGTCATAGATGAAAATACCATATTTATGTCTTCTTATAATCCATTCATTGCTTTATGGACCCAAAGTCCTCCAGGGAGTGTCACAAATCCATGTAATGTTCCTGAGTGTTACATTTTGCATTTTGATCTATGATTTAGCTGACAGATTTGAATAAACACTTGGAGTCAGGGAACTCTGATAACTGCAGCACATGTGTGGAGCCCAAAGAGTGCAAATTCCTCTAAGGTCATATTGGCTTTTCCCTAAAATCTTCTACAATTTCTTTTTTGCTGAAGTTAAAATAGTCTTTTAGCGATAAAAGACATCTATTGTAAAAATTTATATTGTGTTGAATTTTGTTCTTTTTTTAATCAAGTTTTAGTAAATTCATTAAAATGAAAATGTTGTAATTTTTATAAAGAAACAAACTACTGAATGCTACAATTTTGAGACATACTCTTCAACAACAATGAAAAGAAAATTCCATTATTTGTCTCTTTGCTTTGGAGAGCAACTTTAGGCATCATCCCATGCATGACACTGTCTCAAATGTCAGCTTCATACATTTAAAAATATTTGAATATTTCAGTGGACAACCATAGAAAAAAATGATGAGGACATTTTTGCATATATATTTCTATTTAATATCATTCAATTATTTTTTAACAATCTCTGCCCCATCAAAAACAAACTCTCCTATGGCCCACAAATTATTTAAATAACTTGTTTCTTTCTGCACCTCCCTTCACTTTTTGGGCTCCACTGAACTCCGATCTTTCTTTAAGGCCATTTCCTCTCTTGTACTGCATCTCAAAATGTTGATTACTTCTTGGCTCCTATCCAACATATTACAAAGATAGGATGCTTTTGGCATTTGTCCACCATTTTTAAATCTTTCCTTTGAAGTAAATGACATATAACCAGCTCACCTTTCTATATTTTTTAAAACCACTATATTCTACTAACTTCCTGGTCACTTCTTCACCTCTCTCAGGTATTTTGAAACCTGTCTTATTATTTACCAGCTGTAAGTATCCATCCTATTATCCACGTAGAAAATATTGCTAATATTTCAAAGGCCCCACCAGTCATATGAGCTGGAGTGAGATTTTGGTTCGGAAGGGAGCCACATGAGGATGGACAAGCACTCAAAGTCCACCTTGCAGCAAGAATGGTGCCAGAGCCATTTGGCTTTACCAGCCAGTGGTGGTTGTGAGACAATCATAAGCAGCAAGACTCAGGCAGTAGTTGAGTTTGTAGCAAAGTCAAATATTTGGCTTCTGTAAGGCAAGCTGTAGAATCTACTGCTCAGTGACATTTATGATGAAAAGTTTTCCTGGGAGGCCAGTTCGGCCATTCAAAGCATGCTCCTGGAAGCTAGGTCTTGAGCTTTGTCCTGGAATCTTGTTCTTTTCACAACAAACCTGTGAGCTCCTGATATCTGCTTACTAAGCCTCTTCTCTGGTGAAAGAGCCAGAATCTGCTTCCTTTGCTTGAAATGAAGAAGTCTGAGTAAAATCAAGTCAGCATGGTTCCAAAACTTTCTTTAGCAATTCTCTGTGGCCTAGGAGCAGAAAAAGAGAAAGCAGTTGATTAAGGTGATTTACATAAATTCAATAAACTCAACATGTTAATGACTCATTCTTATCTAGTTAGTAAAGCAATGCTAAAGAATCCACCTGACAAAATATCCTAGCAACAATTTTACATTTTTTAACTAATAAAATAACCTTACAGTAAATGTAATTTAGGAGAAAAATATGTTAGCACCTTTAAGCTAATCACCATAACATGGTATTCCACTGGTTTCTGTCTTTCATTTGATCTTTAACCTTATATATTATATTTTATATTATAATGATCATATAATATTTTATTTTCTGCCTGTGTACCATGCAGGGTCCAGGAGAAAATCGATGGCACACTCAAATTAGATAATTCAAGAACAGTTTAATAAAGGAACAATTTATAAAGATGTGGGCTAGGTATAAGGAATCCAAAGGTATAGGGATCCTGGTACAGGATCCCAGGGATCCCAGGGCTGGTAACAGGGTGCTGCTCTCAACTCAAGGACAAAGAGGCCAGGGATGAGAATGGTCACTCAACCGAGATATGGAGACTGTTCTCTGTAGAGGTCTGGGTGACAGAAATCATCACTTTTGACTGAGGAGCCCATACGGCTTTCAGTGATCATGCAAAGAGGCACTTGGGAGAATAAATACCAATGCCCTACTCTCCTTTCTGATATCCTGCCAGTGTTTCTCATTGCCATGATCAGAGGGAAAAATAACCTGCTGATAAAGGTCCAAGCAGGTCAACCACCAGTGACACAGAGCAGGGTGGATCTGGAAGGCAAAAGGAATATATGTATCCAGCAACACCTATTTGTATAATATTTTATTAAGATGGCATATCATTGTGAAATTAGTTACCCTTCCATGATAAAGCTTTTTTATTTTTCCTCTTAAAAAGAAATGAGCAACATTTTTATGAATATCTTGGTATACAATACTTTTTTCACCTGAATAATTCCTAAGAAATGACACTGAAAATTATGTGATTGTTTTTCAGGAAAAGAATAGTTTCATGTGAGAAATATCTATTGTTTTAATTTAGGAAAACTGGCTAGCCATATGCAGAAAATTAAAATTGGACCCCTTCCTCACACCTTATACAAAAATTAACTCAAGATGGATTAAAGACTTAAACGTAAGACCTAAAACCATAGAAACCCTAGAAGAAAACCTAGGCAATACCATTCAGGACATAGGCGTGGACAAAGATTTCATGACTGAAACACCAAAAAAAATGGCAACAAAAGCCAAAATTGACAAATGGGATCTAGTTAAACTAAAGAGCTTCTGCACAACAAAAGAAACTATTATCAGAGTGAACAGGCAACCTACAGAATGGGAGAAAATTTTTGCAATCTGTCCATCTGACAAAGGGCTAATATCCAGAATCTACAAAGAACTTAAACAAATTTACAATAAAAAAAAAAACAACCCCTTCAAAAAGTGGGTGAAGGATATGAACAGACACTTCTCAAAAGAAGACATTTATGCGGCCATCAAACATATGAAAAAAAGCTCATCATCACTGGTCATTAGAGAAACACAAATCAAAACCACAATGACATACCATCTCATGCCAGTTAGAATAGCAATCATTAAAAAGTCAGGAAACAACAGATGCTGGAGAAGATGTGGATAAATAATTTGTGTTTCTATATCATTTTTAGAGTATTTGAACTGTAATTCATTAAAAATTATATTAAATTTGTGTACAGTAAAATGTTTTCAGAATTCTTATATTTGTCATATAGGAATCACATATAACATCAGGATAGTTGAAAGAAAAAATATTTGTTTTAGGAGATAAAGAAACTCAGGCTCATTAAGGTTCATGGTTTGCTTTCAAGTCATATGGCCAGAAGTTACTAATGTTTAGGTTACATGCTAAGCTACTGCAAGAGAGCTTTACTTAAAACAAAGCTCCACTTGTTCAAAATCTACTTGACTTCATCCTCTATACAGCAGACAGGTGGAGTAACTTCCATTTAACAGCTATGACCAGATGTTGCATATATCACATTTACTCATCTAGTTATCATGTTCTGTTGGCCAGATTTTAGTCACAGGCTTTCACCTACATTCAAGGATGGCTGGGAAATGTAGTTTCTACCTGATCATTCACGTTCTACCAGTAAAGATTCTATTAATTAAGGAGGAGAGTAGAATGGATGTTGAAGACGATTAGCAGGCAATTCTAGGGTGCCTCCCTCTGACCATCCACATATCAATATACACCTGTATTGTACACATACAACATTCTCTTTCCTTCCTGACAGAAGAGATCTAGAGTTAAAACCAACAAAAAGTCTATGTATCACGGTGAAACACAGTACTCTCCAGTGCAGGAAGTGGCTACCTATTGTCCTGTGACTTATAAACTAAAAGGCACATGCCCTCCACATGCTCAATCTACATATAATGGTGCAGTAGGAATAATATAACTAGAAATTCAAAAGAGGGAAGAAGGTAAAACACACAAGTCATTAAATCCTGCTGATTGAAAATTCTGAAGACATCATGCTGTGAAAGTTTTTCTGTTAGCCCAGCTATTTGCTGTGGGTTTTGGAAATGATTCCTTTGTCCAGCGTTCTCTGTAATTCTGTCTTTGTCCTCTTGTAAAATTTACTCTGTGGCCACAAATGAAAATGGAGTTGAAGAACACGTCCTTGCAGTCTTATACTGCTGGCATAGACTTTGGGAAACAAAGGTTAATTTAGAGGTTCCGTACCACAGGCTTTTGCAGGCCAGACCATGGTGAGCAATGTTTCCTTTTCACCACTTTGCTTCCTGTCAGCAACATGTGAAGAAACCAAAGTGAAGGAATCTTCTCTGGTTATAGATTTTGTAACTTCAAACTTTCATTTATGTACTAGTTCCTAGGCTCAGAATATTCCCCACCCATCTCAATTTAATGGCAGCTTCCGTTAGACCATCCGTAACATTAGCTGAATGAGAGGACAATATTAAACTGACCTCAGATGCTGGGTTGCTCCAATTTTCTGATGAAGGAAATTTAATATGGCAATCTCTAGAAAGGCTCTCAGCCACCATGCTCTCTTCTGCTGTTTGGGCTTCAGATATATTTGGAATTTGGCTTTTTTTTTTTTTTTAAATCTTTTAAGGTTTCAAATTTCTGAACTCACAGACAATATAGTTTGGTTTTTTTTTTTTTTTTTTGTAATGTAAGATGTTTGCTTTGGTTACAATTTTAACACATTGATTTGTTGTGTAAGAGATATTAAATTTCTTTTGTTAGGCTAATTTGACACTTCCCCTTTTCTCTAGCAATGTATTCTTTGACAACCAAATTACCCACAAAGCTGGCAAGTTAGAAGAGGAAGCAAAAATGAAACTTTCAACCAGTCTCCTCTCTCAAACCAAAATGGCCTATTTCTAATTCAGATAAAACCGTGACTTCGAAAGACCATTGCTGCAGGCTTCTTATTGACCCCTGACTGTGATTTTATGATTAAAACAAACAAATTTTATGATTAAAACAAAAACAAAAGCAAAAAACAGAAAAAATATCCCTGCAAGAAAATATCATCAAAGATCAGCGCCTGTTGTAATCAATGGGACAGAGAGTCCCATTAGCTCCATTAGAAAGGATTTCTTCCCTTCCATCTCTGTTTCAATCTGGCTACTGATTGACTAAGTCTATCTCTTTCCTAGTAACTTACTAAAAGGAGAAAGAATCTGCTAAAAATACACAGACATTTTAACTTTTTTTTCTAGCCATGTACCCTAGAGCTTCAATTCTCATAAAGATGTGTTCTACCTCTAAAATTATCATAGTTAACTGTTTTATTAGATTTGGCCCCAATATAACAAGAGCCACCAGCTTTCTAGCCAAGCCAGTAACACATTTTGGGGTTTCTTATGGCAATACTCCACTTTTAGATGCCAATTTTCAAATTAGGATATGACCTACTTTGTAAAAATGATACAACAAAATACCCAATTCAAATAATATAGAAGGACATTTTTTTTTTTTTTTTCTCATTTCGCTGTTCAGAGGAACTTGATCCAGGGCAGATAGATTGACCATGCCATTCTCAATGAAAGATTCTGATACACGGATGCAAATCAGCTGTTCCACTTAGATCCATTTTTTTTCCCAGTAGCAGAAAACAGTACAAAACAAAACAAAAAACAAGGGACATGGAAAGTAAGTACCTTCCTGTGGAAAGATGTGACTTCAATTGCAAAGTTCACTTCAGCTTACGTTATTTTGGCAAGAAGTTAGTCACATTGCCACATTTAACTACAAAAGAGACAGAGAAATGTAGTTTGGCTAGGTAGTCTCCAGGTAGGAGGTTTTAGCACTGAGGAAGAAGGAAATGGCTACTGGAGAAAAATCAGAAGGTGCTGTATTCCTCTCCACTGTTCTTTTCACTAAATTGACCTTGAGAAATAGCCTGGCTTTTTAGAAATACAAATGATGAGAGAAGTGAGTACAAAGGTTGAATTTAAAAAAGTAGTTTCTGGGGGGCAGGGTGTGAGAAGATATTTATTTCCAAATTTTCCCTCAGGTCAAAATAGCTGATAACCAAGATACTGAATTATAGATCTGGAAGAAATTTTCAGACTTCATCTTGCCTTTTGTTTGGATCACATCCAAAACACCCTGGGAAAAATGTTAGCCCAATTTAGCCTTCTTAGATCTCTGAAGGACATCTCTAACTTCTTTTTGCAATATTTTCTGCTATTTAATTTTAGAGAAGGGCCGTAAGATCCCATTCACCACTTCTACTGTATATGTCACCACAGTATAGTGTAGTGGTGATAAAAATGTAAGCATAGAGTCTTCTGCTTGGGCTCAAATTCAAGGAATTCCAGCTCTGCCGTTTACTAACATAATGACCCTAGAGAAATAATTAATCTTTTTAAATTTCCACTTCTTAATTTATAAAATGGAGCTCATATTTGAACCCACTTGTGGGGATGTTAAGAGGGTTAAAGAGTTTAAAAATGTATAAAGCATTTGGAGCAGTGGCTGGTATTTTATCAATTCTCAATAAGTAACAGCTATTATTATCTCCTTGTATCTTTCTCAGGTCAGGAGATGTTCCCAAAATAAATAATACTGAAACCTTTTAAAAAAGCAGATAAATTATATTAATTATGACTGAAATTGATCAGAGAACATAAACCTACATTATTTTTTATTATTAAAATGTACATTATAATAATACAAATTAATAACATACATATGACAAAATGGTACACTACTTAAGAATGAAAGCCCAACAAATCTTTTCAAGTACCACCTTAATGGAAAATTTTGCATTAGACATAAAACTATACTAATTACAAAATAACTCTTTTTTGTTTGTTAAAGCACTTTAACAGTCTTTAAAATTACATCTCAGCTCCAACTTTTGGTGTTCTTGTTCTTGCAAACTATTACAAAATGAAAGTAATAAAATGAAATGTTCTTTTTATTCTGATTATAAAGGTAACATACATCCATGCAGAAAAATCAAGAAATAGAGAAAAACATAAAAAAAAAAATAAAAGTTATCTGAAATTCTACCACTATAAAATGGCATCTAGTTAACATTTGAGGATTATTTTTCTAGGTATTTCTGGAATTTAAAAGAAAATAAGTCCTTTCTGGTAATGACAAGCTATCCTTTCTACAATAACAATTTTTAATTCTGGACAAAATTATTAAAAATAATTATTTGAAGGTATTGGAAATTACCAAAATCAAGTAAAAATCTAAGAATAATTTTCTCTTAAAGATGATTGTTGTATCGGGTACATACTGTGAATTTGAGATTTTTTTTTTCTCGGATGCTTCACAAAGTATCCCACCTCCTCAAACGAGGTGGTGGAGAACCGCAGTCTTAGCAGCTGAAGGTGGCAGATGATAGAGAATAAGGCAACAGATTAGCTGGATATTTCAGAGGAATATCTTGTAAGCAAAATAGCCACAAAAGAGCAGAAATTTAAAAATCTAAATATAAAGTCTGCTCAAAATTTCAGTTGTCTGTAAACTACATACGAGTATGGGAGAACACAGAAAGTCTGCTAAAAAGCAGGTAGAAACTAAAGGATCTACCTTTGAAAGGAAAACTAGCTTCTGGTATGACTTGAGAGTATGCTCGTCTTTGACTGAGTGTATTTTCCAACCCATTTACAACTCTAAGGGCAAAAAGCAAATGCTTTACTGACTCGAGGTGTCAAAGGATAAAACTCAGGGCTAGAAACAACAGTGGGAAGCTTGCACTTAGTATATGGCCCAGAAAATCACCCAAAAGGCGTGGGAACTTATACATCTGCAAAGACTTGTAAATAAATTTTCACTGGAACATAATCATAAGAGGTCCAACTGGAAAGCAACTTAAATGTCCAACAATAAGCAAAACAGATTATGTATATCTTTTAAAAGCAGTGTCATTCAGAAATGAAAGGTAAAATATGAATATATAGAACATCGATGAAGTTCTACAACATTATGCTAAAGGAAAAAAGCATGCACAAAGACTGCATGCTGATGATTCCATTTGTTGAAATTCTAGAAAAGGAAAAACTATAGAATCAAAATGCGGATCAGTAGGAGCGTAGGCCTAGGGTAGGAGAGGAGATCAACTTCAAGTGACATTGGACATTTTGGGGGTGATGGAAATGTTTCATATCTTGATGTGGTGGTGGTTTCAATAATTTCAACATTTGCCAAAACTCATTAAACTGTACATTTAAAATGGATGCATTTTATTGTATGACAATGATTTCCCAATAAAAATGTTAAAACAAAAGTGCCCACCCACCTTACATTTCATGTGCCATCCCCGCAAATTGCTTCTAATATATTGACCAAAATTCTTCCGATGAAAGTGACCCTTTGAAAAACAGAATGCATATTGAGTTAACTTTTTATATGGTATAAGGAAGGGGCCCAATTTCAGTTTTCTGCATGTGGGTAACCAGTTATCCCAACACCATTTATTGAATAGGGAATCCTCTCCCCATTGTTTGTTTTTGTCAGGTTTGTTGGAGATCAGATAGTTGTAGGTATGCGGTCTTATTTCTGGATTCTCTATTCTATTTCATTGGTCTATGTGACTGTTCTTGTGCCAGTGCCATGCTGTTTTTGGATTAAAGACTTAAATGTAAAACCCAAAACTATAAAAACCCCAGAAGACAACCTAGGCAATACCATTCAGGACATAGGCATGGGCAAAGACTTTATGACAAAGACACCAAGGGCAATTGTAACAAAAGCGAAAATTGACAAGTGGGATATAATTGAACTGTATGTTTAAAATAGGTGCATTTTATTGTATGACAATAATTCTTATTGATAAAGAGCTTCTGTACAGCAAAATAAACTATCAACAGGGTAAAGAGACAACCTACAGAATGGGAGAAAATTTTTGCAAACTGTGCATCTGACAAAGGTTTAATATCCAGTATCTACAAAAAACTTACACAAATTTACAAGAAAAAAGCAAACCACCCCATTAAAAAGTGGGCAAAGGACATGAACAGACACTTCTTGAGAGACGACATACATGCTACCAACAATCATACGAAAGAAAACTCAACATTATTAATCACTAGAGAAATGCAAATCAAAACCACAATGAGATTCCATCTCACACCAGTCAGAATGGTTATTACTAAAAAGTCAAAAAATAATGGATGCTGGTGAGGCCAGGGGTGGAACGGAACGCTTATACACTGTTAATGGGAGTGTGAATTGTTCAACCATTGCAGAAGACAGTGTGGGGAATCCTCAAAGACCTAAAGACAGAAACACCATTCAACCCAGCAATCCCATTACTGTGTGTATACCCAAAGGAATATAAATCGTTCTGTTATAAAGACATATGCATGCATATGTTCATCACAGCACTATTCACAGCAGCAAAGACAGGGAATTAATGATAGACTGGATTCCAAGTCTAAATGCCCATCAGTGATAGACTCGATAAAGAAAATGCAGTACAAGTACACCATGGAATACTATGTAGCCATAAACAAGAATGAGATCATGTCCTTTGCAGGGACATGGATGAAGCTGGAGGCCATTATTCTTAGCAAACTAATGCAGGAACAGAAAATCAAATATGGCATGTTCTCACTTATTAGTGGGAGCTAAATGATGAGAACACATGGACACAGAGAGGGGAACAACACACTGGGGCCTATGAGAGGGTGGAGATGGGAGAAAGGAGAGGATTAGGAAAAACAACTAATGGATACTAGGCTTAATACCTGGGTGATGAAATCATCTGTACAATAAACCCCCATGAATCACATTTACCTATGTAACAAACCTGCACATCCTGCACATATATCTGCCCTGGACTTAAAAAGTTAAAAAACAAAACAAAACAAAATAAAACAGAATGGCCTTTCAGCTTCTCCCAAACCTGTGGTCATCCATGGATTTTTAACTGAGATAATCCCTGAAGATAGAGAATGAGGCTAAGAATGACAGTTGAGAATGTTACCAGATTTTACAAAATAGTATAAAAGTTTCATGACAAAATTTGTCCTTAAGATTCTGGGGACAAAATAAACAGCATCTATAAATATACACAGACTATTTTATATTATTCTTATAATTTAACAATGTATGCCTATGCTTCATACAATGTATGTATGTATACATACATATGGATCACTGGATCACTCATATGTTGCTGGTGGGAATGTAAAATAGTACAGTCATTTTGGAAAAGACTTTGTTAGTATCTCATAAAACAAAGCGTGGATGTATACATATATAAATACATATAAATATGCATAAATTGTTAAATGTGTATACATATTTATATACATGTTTATATGTATGATTGACCCTTGAACAACACAGGGGTTGGTACCACCTGTGCAGTAGAAAATTTGTGTATAAATTTTGACTCCCCCAAAACTTTAGTAATAGCCTACTGTTGACCAGAAGCCTTACCAATAACAAAGTTGATTAACACATATTTTGTATATGCATTATATACTGTATTCTTACAGTAAAGTAAGATAGAGAAAATAAGAAAATCATAAGGAAGAGAAAATATTTCCTAC
The DNA here is from genome assembly GCF_000001405.40 of Homo sapiens. Taxonomy (NCBI): domain Eukaryota; kingdom Metazoa; phylum Chordata; class Mammalia; order Primates; family Hominidae; genus Homo; species Homo sapiens. The sequence continues at coordinate 115,416,928 of NC_000007.14, forward strand.
TCATTAAATGGAAGTAGATCATCATAAAGGTCTTCATCCTTGTTGTCTTCACCTTGAGTAGGCTGAGAAGGTGGAAGAAGAGGAGGGCTTGGTTTTGATGTCTCAGGAGTGGCAGAGGCAGAAGAAGTAGAGAAGATGGAAGGGAAGGCATGAGAGGCAGACACACTCAGTGTAATTTTATTGAAAAAAAATTTGCATATAATTGGACCTGTGCAGTTTAAACCTGCCATTGTTCAAGGGTCGACTGTATATACAGGTACGGAAACAGAAAGAAATATTTGCAAACTACATATCTGACAAAAGACTGGTGTCTAGAATATATAAAGAACTCTCAAAACTTAACAGTAAAAAAGCAAACCATCCGATTAGAACATGGAAAAAAGACATAAAGGAACATTTCACTGAAGAAGATATACGTATACAAATAAGCACATGAAAAAATGTGAAATACCATTAGCCATTAGGGAAATGCAAATTAAAACCAGAATGAGATATTTTACTCAATTGTCAGAACGGCTAAAATAAAAAATAGTGACACAACAAACGCTAGCAAGATTGTGGAGAAACTGAATCACTCATACATTGCTGGTGGGAATGTAAAATGGTACAGTCATTTTGGAAAAGACTTTGTTAGGATCTTATAAAACGAAGCATGCAACTACCATGCAATCCAGCAAGAAATAAAAAAAAATTATGTTCACACAAAAACCTGCACCCAAATGTTTCATAGCAGTTGTATTTGTGGTACACAAAAACTGGAAACCATCCAGATGTCTGCAGTAGGGCACTCCTGGTGGCCTTGGACTGACCCAGTTCTTCTCCCTTTTTTGCTTGTAGTTCACAAGGATAACTGCAGAATGTGCTGAGAACGCAACATCGCGCGAGAAAGGGGAGCTGGCCAGAAAAGCCCAGGCTCTGTTTTAGTCCTCTCCTGAAAACAGGCTGTCTGTCAACACTTCAGTACAGTGGGTCAGGTTACCCTAGGTAAATAACCTATGGTGGGGTGCTGTCCAGGGTCCATCAGCTGAAGTGCAGGTAGGGCACAGACTCCATTCCCCCTGGGCAGCCTTGTGAGCCTTGGGGGACCAGCTCACATGGATCCTAGGCTTCTGTTTTCCCTTGCTGCTGTCTGTAATACACTCACTTCATGTAATTTGTTGATTGTATGGGTGTCTTGTCTCACCAGACTCAGACAAGTTGGTAACCAGTTCACAGTGAACCTGCTTCACAGTGTTCATCATCTAAATGATTCATGGTTAAAGAAACTGTGGTGTACCTCTACCATGGAATGCTGAGTAAAAACAAAATCCATGCACAAAAGGCTATATATTATTCCATGTAACATTATTAAATTCACAAAAATATAGAAATGGAGAACAGAATATCAGTTTCAAGTGGGAAGAATGGGAGGAAAAGGGTATAGCTACAAAATGGCAACTTGAGGGTTCCTTGAACTGTGTAAGAGAAAATGAGCATATCTTTACTCTATCAATTTCAATATTCTGGTTGTGATATCGTACTATAGTTTTGAGGATGTTATCAATGGAAAATTTGGTAAAGGGTATACAGGATCTCTCTATCCTTACAACTAAATATGTATCTACAATTACCTCTAAATAAAATGTTTAATTTTAAAAAGCTTATGCCTTACAGTAGCATACAAAATGTCATTCTGAGCATTTATATTTATATGTTTATAATATTGTACTAATATATTTTGCGTATAGTCTTTTTTTAAGAATGCAATTTCAAAATAATCTACTAAAAAGAAATATGAGAAATACAAGAAATGTAAGGGAAAAATTCAACTGAATACATTATGGTGGGGCCAATTCTGAATTCTCTAATCTATTACATACATCCCTTTGGCAATATCACAGAGTCTTGATTACTGTTGCTATACAGTAAGTCTTTAAATGAAATGTTATGAGTCTTTCAACTTTATTCTTCCAGTTATTCACCATATTTTTGGCTTCGTTCTTTTTCCTTTTAAATAAATTTGAGGATCAGCTTGCCTATATCTATTGTTAAAAGCCCTGCTGGAAATTTGACAGGGATTGTGTTAAAACCATAGATTAATTTGGAGAGAATTAGCATATTTACTACATGGATATGTCCAAATCATGAACACGGTATGTCTCTCTTTTTATTTTGCTGTACATTAATGGTATACTTTAATTTGTCAGCATTGTATACTTTTCAATACAGATCCTGTATATATGAGGGTTTCATATTTTGGAGCTATTTTAAATGGTAATATTTTTTAAATTTCAGTTTCCAATTGTTCATTGTGAAAATTGGAAATATGGTTTATTTTTATGTGTTGACCTTCTATGCAGTGATTTTGCTAAATTTATTTATTCTACCTTTTTGGGATACATTTCTTGGGATCTCCTATATAGATAATAATGTAATTTGCAAGTAGAAATAATTTTTATTTGGTCTTTTTCCAATCTGTATGCCTTTTATTTATTTTCCAAATTATTGCATTGGCTAGGATTTCTAGTATGATGTTAAATTAAAGTGGGTGGTGTATATCCTTACCTTGACCCCAAGATTCAGAGGAAGGCATTTATTCTTTCACTCTTAAGTATGATATTATCTGTAGTCATTTCCAGAATCCTGTCATAGGCAGAATTATAGCACCCCCGCAAGATATTCCACCATAATCCTCAGAACCTGTGAATATGATGTGCTATCATGTACATAAATATGTTATATTTAATATGGCAAAACAGATTTTACAGAGGCAACAGGTTACTAACTCAATTGACTTTAAAATGTTTCCTTGAGTTGTCTGAGTAGTCGTTTCTATTTGATTCTTAGATTTTCCATCTTCCTGCTTACAGTGTCCATCTGTTCTTGCACGCTGTCTACTTTATCCATTAGATACCTTAATATGTTAACTATAATTGTTTTAAATTCTTGGACTGATAATTTCAACATCCCTGCTATATATGAGTCAGGATCGGATGCTTGCTCTGTCTCTTCAAACTGCAGCTTTTGCCACTTAGTATGACTTGTAATTTTTTCTTAATAGCTAAACATGACATACTGGATAAAAATAACTGAAGTAAATAGGTCTTTAGTAATGTGGTGGTAAGGTGTGGGGAGGGAAGGCATTCTGTAGTCTTTTGATTAGATCTCAGTCTTTTAGTAAACACGTTGACTCTGGACTATGAACTTCACAAGTGCTTGTCACCCTTGCCCCCAATACCGTTGAGAACGGATGGCTCGAGAGGGTATTTTCCTTTCCCCACTTGGAAGGAAGAAAGGCCTGAAGTTGGATACTTCTCTTCTGCCAGATGAAAGGCTAGATTGAGCTACAGTTGGCAATTTCCCTTTCTCCAGGTTGGTTATACTCTAAAAAATGATTTCAACTGTTTAGACTCTGGTAAAATACATTCTTTTGAGGGCAAGCCATGTTAAAAACAGAATACTCTGGAGCATATTAAAATGGTTACTTTTTGTCTCCTCATGCTGGAAAGCATGAGAAAATTTTCTCCAATATTCACTGTAAGAACCTGATCAAGCTCCCAGAGGTAAAGCTTACAAAAGTGTGGGGGCCTCCTACGACTGGACTTCTCTGGCCTTTTTAACTCTCGGACTTGTCCACACCGAGATGCCAGCACTTTATCAGTTACAGGTTAGCTTTTTCCTACCCTGGTACTGGTTTCTGTGGAGGTGTTCACTCATGAGAATCAGCTCAGCTAAGTTGTGATCCTCTCCAGTTTTGGGGCCATTGGCTTGCTCTGTGACTCCACTTCTCTGATGGATCTAAGACAAGTTGATTTTTTAGTTTGTTCTTTTTAGTTGTTATTAGGATGGAGTGACAACTTCCAAGCCCTTTACATGCCAGACTGGAAACCAAAAGTCTACAAATTTATTTTTATTTATTTATTTATATTTATATTTATTTATTTATTTTTTTGAGATGGAGTCTTGCTTTGTCATCCAAGCTGGAGTGCAGTGGTGCAATCTTGGCTCACTGTAACCTCTGTCTCCTGGGTTCAGGCGACTCTCCTGTCTCAGCCTCCCGAGTAGCCGAGACTACAGGCGTGTGCCACCACACCTGGCTAATTTTTGCATTTTTAGTAGAGACGGGGTTTCACCATGTTGGCCAGGCTGGTCTCGAACTCCTGACCTCAGGCAATCTGCCTCAGCCTCCCAAAGTGCTAGGATTACAGGCATGAGCCACCGTGCCCGGCCCAACAAATTTATTTTTAAAGAGTTTTCACTGATTGTAAAATTCTAAGTTGATAGTCTTCCTCTCCTCACCTTTCAGCCCTTAAAGATATCATTAATTTCTCTTCTGGCTTACACAGTTTCTGAGAAGAAGTCTGCAGCCATTCTTATTTTTGCTCCTCTGTAAATAATGTGTCTGTTTTTCTCTGGCTGCTCTAAGGACTTTTTCTTGAACATTGGTTTTTATGATGTGCCTTCATTTTTTTATTTTTTATTTTTTTGGTGTGGGGATCTTTATCACACATTTGTTGAGCTTGTTGGATCTCTGGATTTTTAAATTTCCTCAAATTAAAAAAAAAAAAGTTCAGCCCACGTCTCTAAATTTTTATGGCTCCCTAGTCTTCCTCTTTGTTTGGGATTTCTGTTAACGTTATGTTAGACTTTTTTTTATTTTAATTTTTATTTTTTAAGTTCCAGGGTATATGTGCCAGATGTGCAGATTTGTTATATAGGTAGATGTGTGCCATGGTGATTTGCTGCACCTGTCAACACATCACCTAGGTATTAAGCCATGCATGCATTAGCTATTTTTCTAATGCTCTCCCTCCCCCACCCCACCCCTCAAACAGGCCCCAGTGTGTGCTGTTCCCCTCTCTGTGTCCATATGTTCTCATTGTTCAGCTTCCACTTATAAGTGAGAACATGTAGTGTTTGCTTTTCTGTTCCTGTGTTAGTTTGCTGAGGATAATGACTCCAGCTCCATCCATGTCCCTGCAAAGGACATGATCTTGTTCCTTTCTATGGCTGTAAAGTATTCCATGGTGTATTTGTACCACATTTTCTTTGTCCAGATGTTAGACTATTTTTTATGTACAGCAGAAGAGCAAAAGGACCTATGATGTTACCTTTAATATTTTTTTATAAGTTCGCTAATCCCATTCATGAGGGCTTTGCTCTCATGACTTAATTACCCTCAAGGCCTCACTTCTTAATACCATCACCCTGGAACTTAGGTTCCAACATAGGAATTTTGGAGGGGCGCATGCATTCAAACCACAGTGAAGCCCTAACCCATATTGTAACTGCATTTGGAGGCTTTAGGAGGTAATTAAGGTTAAATGAGATCACAGGGCGGAGTTCTCATCTGATGGAATTGGTGGCCTTACAAGAAGAGACAAAGAAAGATAGTGATTTCTCTTGGCTTGATCATGCACCTAGGAAAGACCCATGTGAGTGCATAGCCAGAAGGCAAACATCTGCAAGTCAGAAAAATAGCCCTCACCAGACCTAGTCATACTAGCACCTGATCTTGGACTTCCACCATCTAGAATGGCAAGAAATACATTTCTGTTGTTTAAGCCACTCAGGCTATGACATTTTATTACAGCAGCCTAAGCAGACTATTACAGGTTATACCATTGATATCTTGAGCAAGCCTTATTTACTCAATAGACATTGAAAAAAATTTACAACATTCTGATATAAAACCTTTAGAAATTATTTCATGAATAAAACAGTTATAAGGCAATTTCATTAATATAGTGTATTAAAATATTTTTGTTAAAACTAAAAAGCAAATTAAACTTGAACTCCAAGAAAGTGAGATGATTTCATAGTCAAGAGACAAAGGAGGTAGTATAGGATAATTAAGACAAATGCTTTCTAAAGAAATTAATACTTTACCAAGTATAACATAAATTTCTTAGTGCTATCCTTTCACCAAATGACACCAAACAAGTTCAGAAATAATGTTATTTTATTTATATAATATATAAGTGAGAGTAACTATTAAGAAATATGACTAAAATATGATTGAGATTATCCTACATGAATACACTAACCCTAGGCTAAATATACCCTAATATTTCGGTTATTTTTAAATATGATTGATATTGACATGATGACCACTTATTGAACTAAAGAGACCAAACCACATACCCCAATTCATTCTCAGAATAAGTAGGCAATGGAGGGAATGCTGTGAATATTTACAGAAAATACCTTTACTAATGCGATGTTAGAGTCCAGAAGTTGAATGAATCTGGAACACTATTATATAAAAAGAAAAAATAAAAAAAATATGATCCTGATTCTATTTTTTCTCTCAATAAGATGTCAGAAAGTGAAGAATTGCAGACCTATCCATTATTGTCGGTACTCTGTAGTTTGAGTTCATATTTAAGACAGTCAATTGACAGGAGACAGACCTGGAGAAAGAAAAGGAGAGATCGTAAATGGTCAATCTCCTCTCCAATGAGCTAGTTTTCAAAGAAGGGCATATGAACAGTGCGCTAATGTCTGGTGTTCATCAAACAACAAAAAAAAACTCTCTATTTTGAAACATGAGATTTTATTAAAATTGTGCAGTCAAAATATACTCAGTGGTTTTATTTAACTCCCCAGTTTTTATATAAATATTGTTACATGGATCATGAGACCATATTTAAACTTCTATTTGGGGTTGAATAAAATAATCTAAAACAAGTAAATACTCAGACACAGCCTATGGCTCAGTTAAAAAATTTAATAGTTATAGCAGATGAACTGGGAAGGTTGAGGTCTGACCAGCACCCATCTGACTTCTGTGGTCTTTCTCAATGCATATATCACCCTGCTTAGGAAGCTGTTTATATTAGTTGGCTTGTTGACTATCTTCCAACTTAAAGAGAGGTGAATATAACCTTGGATAGCTAGGTGGAATGTTTGGCAGTGGAAATGTATGTATAATTATTTATTGGCCACTGCCAACTCACCTCTGACTTGAAATGAGCAGATACAAAAACAAAACCAGTGAATGTAATAGAAAGTTCATTTAGGACATGAAGAGCAAGAATTGGAACCTTTATAAATGTTTGAAATAGTCTATCCTGGTAATATGTTTGAGAGCTCTTCCCTCCTGTTTCTTAATTGGTAATATAATTTTCTCTCTCTCTCTCTCTCTCTCTCTCTCTCTCTCTCTCTAAAGTATTTATGTATTTTTGAGCATATCCTATTTGCAATGTCCAGATATTGACAATATAGTAAATATGCCTACAAAGATGTAGAAGGTGCAGTTATTGTCTTTAAAGAACATTAAGTCTTGCAAGGAAAGATAATATAAGCATACTAATACCGATAGAGCAAGTCTCTTAAGAGTAGAACAAAGAAAGTGCTAAAGGAACTTCACTCCTTCTAGGTCTAGGGCCCCAGGGGTGCAATTCAGCTAACAAGAGGGCATAAATTCTAACTTTGTTCCACTCTACATTCTCAGATGACAGGGCTAGAAGTCTACTCCCATTGAGATCTATGGCTTTTTCTATACGAAAAAAAAAAAAAATGACTTATTCTCTGACAACATGGACTCCTATTTGGCTTGGTTAACCTGCTGTCACTTCCCTTAGGAGGATAATTGAAGTGAAGGAAGTTGCATGTAGCGAGCCAGAGGTTTGCAACTAGGAAATTCTTAGATTTGGGCGCATATGTAGCCTTTCATGTACAAAGTTCTCATTTTAACCTACCTCAGGCTACCCGGCTTTACTGATTTATAGTTAATTAGGATTGAGATTTTCATTGAAAATTTGAATACTTATATGCTTTTTTGTATGCATTTCAGATCATGTTGGCTGAAGCAAATAATTGTAACAGCACTCAAGAAATGAATGAATACCACAGGGAAGAGCTTCAACCACCACTGCCCCTGACAACCTGTAAGTAAATCCTGCTGTGTTCCCTGTTCACAGAAATATCTTTCTGACATCACTTGTGATAGCTGAAAGATTTCTTTCCTATCAGCTAACAAAATCCCAATACCATTTCCTCACTTTTAAGCCATCTCTCAAAACTCCTTAAGAAAGTTTCTGTTGTTTGCTGTTAGACTTTTACTCTAGTCAGACCATATAGACGCTTAGTTATTATATATGTGTCCAAGTTCCATTATGATAAATGAACAGCAATTGGGAAGAAGGTTGAGAGAGGAAATCCATATTAATTATGGCAAAGAAGGCAGAATATATTGTTCTGAGAATGATTCAATGACATTACACCATTGTGCATTCAAGCCATTTGATAAATACAGAATTCTAGCAAAGAAAGAAGGTCTTCATTCTTACTTTTAAAAAGGAAAAGCCTAAAAGATCTAGTTGCATCTTTTAAATATGTCATTGAATAGCTGTTAATGAGATAAGACTTTCTTCATTACTAATGGTCAAGAAAACAAAATAGAATCAAGTCCAAACTACCTACAACTGATTTAATTTGTCTGTATACAAAAGAAACAGCTCTTGAAAAATAGCTAACTGATCAGGTCCAGAGATGCCTTTTATAAGCTATTGAATCTTTTCTGTCTCTTACTTAGCACTTTGCTGCTTATACACTGTTAATGAAAATATTTTACATGTTTGGATGCCTGATGTGAAAATATTTCTGTTGTAGTTGAACTTAAGAAACTACATGAATTCACATGTTATTTCAGTCATCAAATTAGAATCTTATGGCAAGGAAATGTTTTACCTGTAGATTTATAATTAACACATTAATTTTTAAAAATTTACCAGAATATTATTATTAAGATTCCTTAAGAAAAGATATAGCTTCAAAAGTATCTGAAAGATGGGTAAGCTAGATATTTTGCCTTTCAGAAGCTGAAATTAATGAGACCCCATAGAAAAATAGGAATTTTCTGATTTCCAAACTGATCTCCTGCCTTCTTTTGATGTTTGCTATGTGTAAGATTATTTGCATGCTACAATAACCTGTAAAATAATGACTAATTGAAAAATCACAATATAACGTGTTTGTCATATATTACTACATTATATAAACAGTGTTAAACATGTTAACTTTGTTCCATTTTCTGAAAAAAAAATCTAAATGTATTCTTCTATTCACTTAATTCTTGATTCCTCAGTGAGAAGCAGCTTCTACAGACTTACAGAAATGGGTACCTAAATATCACTGAACATTAGCTTAATATAGAGAATTTTCCACCTGAGGAGATGCCTTTTTCTCACTAACTTGACACTTCACCTCTTAAGATTTATAGTTCTTAACTAAAACTGGAAGTAATTGTTTTGTTAACTGTAAGAGAAAAATCCTGATTCTATGATTGAGAAGTGAAAATGTCCTCATTGTTTATAGTTTTTGACTAAAAAAGAAATCTGAAGACTAAGGATCTATGATTGGTTCAGCCTCCCCTAACTGGTGGCAATTACGTTGTATGAGTACACGTTACCGTTAGCCAGTCAGAACAACCACCCCTCAAACACAACATATATACCACACACACTGTTGTTCTCTTTTAAATAAAAGGTGTATGTCCTGTGATCAGTAATTTCTGAGAATTAAGTTGTGCATCTGTGAATAGTAGGTTTAAAACAGAGAAGATGATGGTGCAATACAGCACATTATTTTGTGACTTTTTAAACCCGGAATTAAGCCTGACATGAATATAGGCTATTCGTTATTGTTTTCCAACCCATTGTTAGTCTGCATTCTTATTGTTGTGTTTAGGCAGAGTTCTGAGTGATATGTTGCAGCCTTCTTTTCTCTAGAATACCAAGAGAACAGTTCTGTAATTTGCCTTCCTTTTTGACAATTAGCAGAAATGTCCATTGGGTCATTACATTTGAATCCTGAGAATTATATTCTCTCAAATGTCACTATGCACCACGAGGCTGTAGATGTTGTTTCAGCAGCTAAAACCAGCTCATGACTCAGGAACCAGCATAACATCTCAAGACCATAAGTGGACCTCTCCAAGATGGTTGCTGTTGCCACACTCCTGGATTTTGTAGTGGCTGAGGTAACCCCTCTCTGACGTTGTTTGAGACTATTTCCGTAAAATACATCCAGTGATTTCAAATTGTGTTGCAACAAACTTTTAGGGGATATTGGGATATCTACAATGCAGAGTACAGAGACACCTGAAGCAAGTCAAGGGTTTATTCTTAGGGGAGAGAGATTATGATTTATATTTTTTCTTAAAAGCATTAATATATGTTTGTCAGGGAATAAGTAATAGAAGCTTAGGTAAAAAGGTAATGATGATTTTAGGTGGTGGGTACTATAATTTTTTTTTTTATTTTTTGAGACAGAGTCTCGCTCTGTCGCCCAGGCTGGAGTGCAGTGGCACAATCTCGGATCTCGGCTCGCTGCAAGCTCTGCCTTCCAGGTTAATGCCATTCTCCTGCCTCAGCCACCCGAGTAGCTGGGACTACAAGCGCCCACCACCACGCCCGGCTAATTTTTTTGTATTTTTAGTAGAGACGGGGTTTCCCCGTGTTAGCCAGGGTGGTCTCGATCTCCTGACCTCATGATCCGCCCTCCTCGGCCTCCCACAATGCTGGGGTTACAGGTGTGAGCCAACGCGCCCGGCCTATAAAATATTTTTTGTTTGTTAATAGTCCAGTTAAGTTTCTTTTTTCCTATTTGAACTCTTTAGTTCATTTCTGTTCTTTCTTTTCTATTATTTTCTTTCTTTAACTCATGGCATACTTTTAGCACAAGGCTTGTACTTCTGCCCTGATTTTGAGATTTATTTCTGTCATTTACTTGATATGTGCTTAGAAATGAAGACGGAGGTCGTAGAATGAATACAGGATTTAGAGTCAGATTACCAATTATTACATTCACTGTCCTCATGAACCAGGGAAGGTCACTTTATTCCTCTCCAAGCTCTATGGCCTCATCCAAAAAATGAGGATGCTGGAAAGAATGGATTATCCCTAAGGTCTTTTCCTGTACTAAAGCCCTTCAATGCTATTAACCCAAGTGCTGATATTCTATATGGATTGGCTTCAATCTGGAGGAATATCAAGAATTGGACAACACATAACTTGTCTATTTACTAGAAGATAAATGAGATCTCATCATTGGTATTGACATCTCCACTGATAGCTTTTATCTATATTGGTAATCATATGCCCTGAGTTTCAATGCTATTTAAAATCTCTTGGTAAATGTAGTTGACAATGTCGTTTAAAATCTCTCAGTAAATGTAGTTACCACAGGCTTTGGTATCAGAAAGGCATGGGCTTGAATTCTGAACTGTAAAGTTATTAGCATTGAGGTTATTCAGCAATCTGAGCTTTTTCTGTAAATTAGGAATAATTCCTACTCCACAGTCATTTTAGTGGGTATTACGAAAATGTGCATAAAGCATCTAGCACAGTGCCTGGCATAAAAACATATATTTAAGATGAGAATTATTTATTGTTATTGGTATTACTAATGAAAATTATATTTATTCTTAAAAATATAATTTGAAAAGAAAATAGAGAGTATGAATATAAGAGTGTGGGTGATAGGGAATAAGTGCTATCAATGGATACTACAACTGTAGAATATGAAAAATCTTATCTACTATAAAACATTCTCTAAGTTAGGATGGAAAATGCCATGTTAGCACTCCCCCCACCATCCTCCATGGCAGATATCATTAAAAGTAATCATCCTAATGAGCTTGGACATGGCCCTAGAACCCTCCTAATCTTAGTGCCTATTGGAAGCACTCAAGATAAAACTTAATTTACCATATCTGGCCTAGATCTAGGCTTCACCTAGATTCTAAAAATAAAAAATCAAAAAGGCAAGAAACTCTGAATGAGGAATGTGCATGTACTGGGGATAAAATTTTGCAAAATAAAATGTAAATTAAGTCACAGTTACTATAATTGCCTGCCTCGCCTTATTTTTGAATCTCTAGAATTTTTTCATTAGCAAATAACTCAAAATTAGTTGCAAAATTGTGCTTAAAATAACATTGTAAATCACTCTATAGGGCATTCCTGGACATATTCATTAATCAAACTAATTTATTGAAAACCCTTATTTTGTATGAGTCACTGTGATTTTATAAATGTAATGGTACCTTTAACACAGTTCTTGAAAGTAACTGTTTTGGAATTTGGAACATCATTTTGTATAAAAGAAGAAAAGGGATCAGTAACTTCAGAAATTCTGACTCTATGTAGAAATATATCCTGGAGAACTACAAAATAAACATGGACAACATTGCAGATATTTTATGGCTACATGGCAAGTTCAAAACACTTTTCATCTTCTCACTCTTATTTGAACAGCCTTGCAGCAATACTGACAATTGAGAATAGTGTAGAATGTTCAGTTGAAGGCTGCTTCAGAAAGCTAAAGCACTACTAGAATAAAAAAGAGTCATAATTGAATGAAATGAAGGGTAATTTAAGGTATCATAGTTAGTAAGAAAAAAAATCTGAATTCGGTTTAACCTGTCTACCCTCTTTTTTGAAACAAAAATTACGTCTTCTAAAACATTATTAATTTATCACCCTTGTTAATAAAGTTTCAATTTGCAGAGAATTTTATACCTTGTATCTTACTCCCTAATACATGTGGTATAAGTGAGTGAATAGCATATTTGGTATTTTGAAATATCTCTTAGTGGATTTAAAATAGATTATATTACAATTGATTAGATATAATTATCTAAAAAGACACTTGCCATTGTTTTATATAATTGCAAGTAGAAATTTACCAAATTTGAAATTGTTTTAATAGTTGAAAAGTGATTATAATGTACTTTCTTTTCCAAAACTAATTGGAGGTTAACTACACAGCAAATCAAATACTGATTTTTTGACAGTACATTTGATAAGGATATTTTTAATGAAAGTATTTTAGAGCAGTGATCATAGGCCTGTCAGATTTTGATGGCAGCTGTAAAGTGATTGAGGCTGGTCAGGTGATAGAAAATGTGTGAATACGCTTCCTCCATTTTGCTGTAGTTAGGTCAGAATTAGTTGTAGTAATGAATGTCCTGGAGTGTAATTTCAAATGTAATGGATGATGTGTGAAAGAAAAGAAAACGCTGCTGCTTCTTCTTTTAAATAATTTTTTTAATGGAGCAGCTAGTAGATGCTAGAACTATTCATTACTGTGTAATTTAACTCTTTCAATAATTTTCTGTGGTTAGTTCCACTATCTGTATTTGATAGCTATGGAAATTGAAACAGAAAAATTTAGAAACGTACCTAAGTTACAGACCATACGTTCATAATATTCTCCTGGTTCACCATGTTCTGAACAGTCTGACTGCCACTTTCAGCTTCCCAAATACATGAAGTGCTCTCTCATGGGCTTTATAGTTTCCTCTATGTGGCATACCCTTCTCTTGGATAGTACTAAAACTGGTTCATTCCTGTCTTTCAGGTGTCACCTCAACACTCATCTCCTTAAAGAGGCCTCCCTTGACTATGATATTTGTTCTTTGTTTTGGCAGGGGAGGTTTGAGACAGTGTCTCACTTAGTTACCCAGATAGGAATGCAGTGGTGCAATCATGGCTCACTGCAATCTCAACCTCCCAAGCTCATGCCATCCTCCTACCTCAGCCTCCTGAGTAGCTGGGACTATAGGCATACCCAACTGTGCCTGGCTATTTTTTGTATTTTTTGTAGAGACATGGTGTCTCACTATGTTGCCCAGGCTGGTCTCGAACTCCTAGCCTCAAGAAATCCTCCCACCTCAGCCTCCAAAAGTGTGGGGATTACAGGTGTGAGCCACTGCACCCAGCAGACTATGCTATTTGAATGAGCTCACCAGCCAACTTCATTCCTTCACAATAACACTCTGAATACTGCCTTCAGAGCTATATCTTAATCTTCATGGGCTGAATTGTGTCCACCCCCCTCCCCACATTCATTTGTTGAAGTCCTAACCCACAATACTTCTGTGTTAGTCTGCTTTCATACTGCTGATAAAGACATACCTGAGACTGGGCAATTTACAAAAGAAAGAGGTTTAATGGACTTACAGTTCCACATAGCTAGGGAGGCCTCACAATCATGGCAGAAGGTGAAAGGCACGTCTCATGTGGCAATAGACAAGCAAAGAGAGCTTGTGCAGGGAAACTCCCCTTTTTAAAGCCACCAGATCTTGTGAGACTTATTGGCTATCATGAGAACAGCATGGGAAAGACCTGCCCCCATGATTCAGTAACCTCCTATAGGGTCCCCCCCAACAACACATGGGAGTTCAAGGTGAGATTTGGGTGGGACACAGCCAAACCATGTCAACTTCCAAATGTGGATGTATTTGGAGATAGAGTTTTTAAAGAGGGAATTAAGGTAAAATGAGGTTGTATGAGAGGGTCTTAATCCAATGTTAATAATGAAGAGATTAGGACACAGACACACGCAGAGGAAAGACCATGTGAAGACAAGAAGAGAAGATGGCCATCTATAAGCCAAGGAGAGATGCCCTCTGAAGAAACCAACTCTGCTGACATCTTGATCTTGAAATTCTAGCCTCCAGAACTGTGATGAAATAAAGTTCCTTGTTTAAGCCACCCAGGCTATGCTACTTTGTTGTGTCAGCCCTAGCAAACTAATACATCGTTGTTTTCTTCGATTTATTTTCCATTGCCCCACTTCTAGAAAATTGAATCCTAGATGCAAAAAGACTTCGTCTTATTTCCAATAATTTTCCCAGTGCCTGACAATGTGGCTGGCATTTACTGAGTTCTCAACAAATTATCTCTGGATAAAAGAATGACAGATTGCAAAGCTAGAATGGACCCCCATATTTGCCTAAATCTAAATCTGATTCTCTTCCTCTATTTACCATATGCCTTCTGTAAACAGGCTACACCAAAGGTCTCTTATAATTAAAAAAAACAAGCAGGTTCTGACTTCCAGTTATCCACATAGAGGCATTTTAGTACAAGAATTCAGGATTTGAAATGTGGACACTTTTATCCCAATACTTGGGAAACAAGAGGAGCTACAGACTCCTCACTTGTGTACTCGACATGGAGAAGGACAGAATTTACACTCCACAGCATCAGTGTTAGAGCATCTCATGAAACAATCTGGAACAGTTGATATGCTCCTGAACATAGTTAATATGATACTAATAACTCAGGGATCACTGAAATGAAGAAGGGCATCTGTGTATCTAGTTATGAGGAACTGGAAAAGACAGAGGACGGGAAATGAGACAGGCTCTGAAATAGTTAGCTCAGACATCATTTTACCCAGATGATTCTCCTTAACCTCCTATATTATTTGCTTCTAGAGCAGTCTGTGTATATTTTTTATTATACTGTTCACCACATTGTAGTGACATTACATGTTTATACACATTTCTACCACCAGAATTGTATTGTTCAGTTATCATTTATTATTTATTTTTGTATCTCCAGCACTTACCATAGAGCCTATCATATAGTTGGTGCCAAATAAGTGCAGCATAATCTGAAATTGATACGAAGAATATCCAGTATACTTATATGATATAAAGCAGCCAAAAAGTGCACGTATCATTATTTACTTTGTTCTTGTTTCTTACATTCCATCTTGTTATTAATAGAGGGCCACTAATTATAAATTCTTTTACAGATATAGATATTATTGAAACTTGGTTGACCATTGAACAACGTGAAGGTTAAGAATGCCAATCCTTGCACAGATGAACACATGAGTATAACTTTGGCTCCCCCAAAACTTAACTACTAATAGCCTACCATTGACCAGAAGCCTTATCAATAGCATAAACAGTCAATTAACACATATTTCATGTATTATATACTATATTCTTACAATAAAGTAAACCAAAGACAAGAAAACGTTATAAAGAAAATCATAAAGAAGAGAAAATATATTTACTATTAATTAAGTGGAAGTGGAGCATCATAGAGGTCTTCATTCTCTCTATACATTGATTGAGGAGGAGGAGGAGGAAGAGAAGGAGTCGATCTTTTCGTCTCAGAGGTGGCAGAGTCAGAAGAAAATCCATATATAAGCAGATCTGTACAGTTCAAACTTAGTGTTGTTCAGGGTCAGCTATATATATCTCCGATGCTAGTCTTTTTCCCATTCAATGATCTCCTGACTTCCTCATGCGTGATTAAAGACACATTTATTCTGAAATTTTTCTATTACTTCCTTCAAAGGCAATATTAGATTATAGACAAGTGTCTCAGATAAGTCCCTCAGTCCCTCAGAGGTTGGCTAAGAGTTCAGCCTCACACAAATAACCTAAATGTCATAACTCAGTCTGGTATCATGACCTTGCCATTCACTCTAGTTCAGCTTGTCACTTAGAGTCTCTCTCTTTTTAATTCAATAAGGTTTAGAAAACAAATGCTGGGTGCTATAATAGCCAAGTCTACTGAGGGAGGCTAGGCAAGGACTAGGTCAGAATACAGAAATTCATATAAGCCTAGAGTAGTCCACTGGGATCTATCTAGACATCTTCCTGCTCAGGGAGGGTATGAACTGTTATATTAGGAAAACCTCTGAAAGTTTCTGTCTTTCCTGGATCTGGGCAAGTCAAAATATGTAACATCCAGGAAATAATGTGTTGGTACAAGAAATATCTTTTTTTTTTGAGTAGTAGATATCCAGTTACTTGAATTACAACTGACTTTATTCTCTCAATATTATTTGTACAAAGAAGTGAAAAAAAAGTAGAACTTGAGTGAACTTAAATTGTAATGAGATAAAGTAAATTCTGTGAGGCAAGTTGTTTATTGCTGAATTAAGCCTCAGGACAACTGAACCTTAAGCCTTATCACATACTGAGATGTAGCACAGGGAAGACACTTGGAGAGGCTGCCCTTGACCCATAGGGTCTCCTAGCTATTGTCTAACTCATTAGCTAGTCTTATTGCTTTCTTAGCACCAACAAGTACTTGAATTTTTATTTTTTTGCCTGTTTATTGTCTTTCTTCACACTTCCTCTGAAAGAGTAGAGGCTTTATCTTTTGTTTCCTGCTGAAGAGCACCTAGGACACTTCTTAAAAAAATAGTTAGGGCTTAAATGGTCACAGTATCTACCATGTAGTAGGTACTCAACAAAAGTTTGCCAAATAAGGGGATGATCAACTCACAACCTCTTTCTTAATCTTTGTTTAAAAAAATGTAAATTCTGATAATATATGTGCTATCTAGGATTATAATTTTTTAGTTGAGAAATAAAAATTGTATGTATTTACTGTGTGCAACGCAATGTTTTGAAATAAATACATTGTGGAATGGACAAATCAAGCTAATTATCATATGCCTTATTTTACACACTAATATTTTTGTGATGAGAACACTTAAAATATACTTTTAGCAGTCTTCAAACATATAGTACATTGTTATTAACCATAGACACCATGTTGTATAATAAAATGCTTTAACTAATGTCTCCCTTCTAACTGCAATTTTCTACTCTGTGACCAAAATATTCTAATCCCACTTCTCTTCCCAGCTTCTGGTAGCCCCCATTTCTATTCTTTACTTTTATGATTTTGCCTTTATAATATTCCACATATGTGAGATCATGTGGTGTTTGTCCTTTTGTGCCTGGCTTATTTCACTTAACATAATGTCCTCTGGGATTGTCCAGGCTGTCACAAATGATAGGGTTTTCTTCTTGTTAAAGAGTGAATAATATTCCATTGTGTATATATTAAGCTATTCCTATCAAACTAACAATGTAATTTTTCACAGAAGTAGAAAAAACTATTCTTAAATCCATATAGAACCAAAAAAGAGCTCGAATAGCCAAAGCAATCCTCAGCAAAATGAACAAAGCCAGCGGCATCACATTACATGACTTCAAACTGTACTGGTATGAAAACAGACACACAGACCAATGAAACAGAATGGAAAACCTAGAAATAAAGCCCCACACCTACAGCCATCTGATCTTCAACAAGGCCAACAAAAATAAGCAATGAGGAAAGGACTCCCTATTCAATAAATGGTGCTGGGATAACTGGCTACCCATATGCAGAAGAATAAAACTGGACCCCCACCTTTCACCATAACCAAAAACTAACTCAAGATGGATTAAAGATTTAAATGTAAGACTTCAGAATATAAGAATTTCAGAAGAAAATTTAGGAAATTCCATTCTAGACATTGGCCTTGGGAAATAATTTATGACTAAGTATTCAAAGGCAATTGCAACAAAAGCAAAAATTGATAAGTGGGACATAATTAAACTAAGGAGCTTCTCTACCGCCAAAGAACCTATCAACAAAGTAAACAGAAAACCTACAGAATGGGAGAAAATATTCACAAACTATGCATCCAACAAAGATCTAATATCCAGAATCTATAAGGAACTTAATAAGCAAAAAATAACCTCATTAAAAAGTGAAAAAAACATGATCAGACACTTCTCAAAAGAAGACATACAAGCAGCCAACTAACATATGAAGAACTGCTCAGCATCACTGATCATAAGAGAAATGCAAATCAAGACCACAATGAGATACACCTCACACCAGTCAGCTATTATTAAAAAACCAAAAAACAACAGATGCTGGTGAGGTTGCAGAGAAAAGGGAACTGCTTATACATTGTTGGTGAAAATTCAAATTAGTTCAGTCACTGCGAAAAGCAGTTTGCAGATTTCTCAAAGAGCTTAAAACAAAACTACCATCCAGACCAGCAATCCTATTACTGGGTATATATCCAAAGGAAAATAATTTATTCTCCCAAAAAGATACATGCACTTCTATGTTTATGGCAGCACTATTTACAATAGCAAAGACATGGAATCAACCTAGGTGCCCATCAGTGGTGAACTGCATTAAGCAAATGTAGTACATAAACACCATGGAGTACTATACAGCCATAAAAATCAACAAAATCATGTCCTTCACAGCAACATGGATGGAGCTGGAGGCAGTTATCCTAAGTGAATTAATGCAGGAATAGAAAAATACCACATATTCTCACTTATAAGTGGGAGCTAAACATTGGGTATTCATGGACATAAAGATAGCAACAATAGATGCTGGGGACTACTAGAGAGGGGAGGGAGGGAGGAGGTCAAGAGTTGAAAAACTATTTGGTACTTTGCCTTCTACTTGGGTAATGTGATCAATAGTACCCCAAAGCTCTGCATCATGCACTATACCCATGTAACAAACCTGCACATATACTCCCTGAATCTAAAATAAAAGTTGAAATTATAAAAAAATTTAAAAAGATAATTCAATTATTAATATAGGCGATATGCCCATTTAAAAAGTTCAAATGCTGTATGGAAATTACCATTGGAATTGTTACTGCTTTGATTTCTTTGAACGACAAACAAGCATGTATAGAAGAGAGAAGCAAAGGCTATAACAGAGAGATCCAAAGTCTCTTATGTGTGGCTTCTTGCACTGTTAGTCAGACTAATGGTTGGATTTTGGCTCTGTCACTTCATGGGTGAACTTGGATGATATATTTACTCTTTGTAAGCAACAGGTTATTTATTTGATTATCTTTATGGCAGGGATATTAAATTAGATAATGTAAGTAAAATGCCTGATGTGTTCTCATGAATTCTAGATATTCTAGAAACAATTGCTAGTATTGTTCTTTTTTCCAAACTTTTTTCACTTTATACAAATGTTTATGGAATATGGTCACTTAAATGACCTTTAAAAGTATTGATTGCATGTATGTGTATTTAAACATGTGCTTTCTCTTACAGAGGATATAAAAATACATAGAGGAAAGCAGGGTATTGATATTGACATATCAGCATTCACATATGAAAGGTAGACCCATTATTTACGGATTTCAGAAAGGAAATAATAAGTTTCTTTATGTTCCAGGATGTCTCTCCTGAGACCAGCTTTGTTAATACTTGTTGATTGCCCTCAGGTTCTACAGAAAGACTGACCAGTCTGTGTTCTGTATTTTTAAGTGATAAAATGGTTCCCTTCCAAAATGCACCATTACTGGCAGTGTGATGGTGGGCAAAGCTCTACATTCTCTGGACTTCATGTGTAATATAACCAAGAATTATCTTGGTTTGTATCTCCAGTTATTTATATAACAAACATTTATTGAGCATCTACTACATCTATGATATTATACTAGTTGCCTCAAATTCATCAATGCACAAACAAAAAACCCTGCCCTCTCAGAGCTTAACTAGAAAGGTAAACAGACAACATAAAAATAAGCTTACTAAATAAGGTAAACATTAGGTAAAAATATCCTTAAACTATAAAAATTCAACCAGGGAAAGAGGGGTTAGGAGTGTTGAGGGCAGGTACTTGGCAGATTGAACATTAAGTAAGTCATCAGGCTAAGTGTCAAGGAGAAGTTGAGATTAGCCCAAATACTTGAAAGCAGTGAGACGATTAGTCAAGAAGACATCTGTGAGAAGAACGATCTAGAATGATGAAACAGCTAGAGTTAAATTTCTCAGGTAGATGCCTGCCTCGTATGTTCCAAGAACAAAGAATTTTTGTAAAAATCAAAGGAAGTCATGCCCACATGGGAAATTTGTCAGCTATGAAGTGACACACGTGAATGTAGATGTCATCATGGTTAGTCCTCCTCTGTCACTATATAGCCATGGCACCTTGGGCAACTCACTTTCTCTTGACTCTTTTTTTTGAGACGGAGCCTCGCACTGTTGCCCAGGCTGGAGTGCAGTGGCACGATCTCGCTCGCAAGCTCCGCCTCCCGGGTTCACGCCATTCTCCTGCCTCAGGCTGGGACTACAGGTGCTGGGAGTAGCTGGGACTACAGGTGCGCGCCACCACGCCCGGCTAATTTTTTGTTTTTTTTTTAGTAGAGACGGGGTTTCATCGTGTTAGCCAGGATGGTCTCGATCTCCTGACCTCGTGATCCCCCTGCCTCGCTCCCAAAGTGCTGGGATTACAGGCATGAGCCACCACGACCGGCCCACATCTTCTCTCTCTCTCTCTTTTTTTTTTTTTCCTAGCCGGAGTCTCGCTCTGTTGCCCAGGCTGAAGTGCAGTGGCGCGATTTCGGCTCACTGCAATCTCCACCTCCCGGGTTCACGCCATTCTCCTGCCTCAGCCTCCGGAGTAGCTGGGACTACAGGCGCCCGCCACCACGCCCGGCTAATTTTGGTTTTGTATTTTTAGTAGAGACGGGGTTTCACCGTGTTAGCCAGGATGGGCTCGATCTCCTGACCTCGTGATCCACCCTCCTCGGCCTCCCAAAGTGCTGAGATTACAGGCGTGAGCCACCGCGCCCAGCCCCATCTTCTCTTTTAAGGGGGATCTTGGAAGTTATAGCACCTCCTAGTAAAAAAATTCTATAATTAGTGTAATTTTGCCAATTCTTTTATCTTTAAAATTTTTCTTGTACTTACTATAATGAAAGGAAACTAAACAGAGTTCAGATGGGTATGAGAATTAATGAGAAGGGGAAAGAGTTAAACAAAAAGTTTTTAATATAAATAAGTACATTTCATCATTTAGACTACAGACATAAACTATATATTATTTTTTAGATTAAAAAAGTCATGTTTCAAAATGATCAAAGTCATAAAAAACAAAGAAAGTGTCAAAGATCTTTGGCAAGCAGGAGATGTGACAAAAACAATGCAGAATCTTGGATATGATCCTGGAATCGAAAAACTGGTGAAATTCGAATAAAGTCTACAATTTAGTTAATAGTGCTGTACCCATGTTAATTTCATAAATGCACCATAGTTATGTGAGATATTACCATTAGGGGAAGCTAAGAGAAGGGAATGGGAGTGCAAGTGTTCTCAGTACTATCTTTACAGGTCTTTTTGGTCCCAAATTAATTCATTATTAAATTCTGCTTAAAAAGCGTATAGGAGAACATTGCCTCATGATTTATGCTCTCCTTGAATGTCAATATTCATTACTAATTTTCAATTTTTTGAAAATTTATAAACAAATAAGATATAAATAGCTTCATGAATGTATAAAAATAAAAATATATCTTCCTTAAAATAACATTTTTGTTTAATAAATTTAAATGGAATACCATCAGTAAGCTCAAAGGAAGGAAAAACAAAACTAGAAAAATGTTGTCCAAATAAAAACATGTAGAGAAAATACTTAACTACAAAATGAAAGTCAGCAAAATCCTAGCCTGTCTATGCTTGGAAATAAAATCTTCCTAAAATGGCTTAGTACAGAGCCTTGCACATAATAGGCAAATATGTGTTTGTTTATTTAATGTGAAATCATGGCTCCATTTATATCAGCAATTAAAACCTGCATACATTTCTGAGGAGAGGTGTTGTGATAGAATAGAGTTTTCTACATAAAGACATTCCCAACTATGTGTCAAACAGGACCTGACATAATCTTCTCTGTGTTTGCCAAACCTCCTCCTTGCCAAGAACCCTTCACTTATAAAATAGAGTTGGCAATATCTCTCCTTGACCTTGAAAGAATATTACAAGAATAAGTAAGATAATGTCTGGATAATGCTCTGGGACCTCATATGAAGGAACCCTGTCACTGCAATGTAAGAAAAACAAAAGTAGTCTTTTTTGTCTAATTTTTTAAGTTGGTAATTAATATAATGGCTAATACATGGATCTCTCTTAAAGCTCAGTGTGACCGTTTTTATGTCTAACAAAACAACTGGTCTACTTGCAATCAATATATCTTTTTTTTTTTTTTTTTTTTTTTTTTTGTGAGACGGAGTCTCGCTCTGTCGCCCAGGCTGGAGTGCAGTGGCGGGATCTAGGCTCACTGCAAGCTCCGCCTCCCGGGTTCACGCCATTCTCCTGCCTCAGCCTCCCAAGTAGCTGGGACTACAGGCGCCCGCCACTACGCCCGGCTAATTTTTTGTATTTTTAGTAGAGATGGGGTTTCACCGTTTTAGCCGGGATGGTCTCGATCTCCTGACCTCGTGATCCGCCCGCCTCGGCCTCCCAAAGTGGCAATCAATATATCTTATTCTTCAACAGATCACAACTTCTTGGCAACAAATTGCCAAGAAAATCACACATAATTGGCAGCCAGCAGGAGGCTATGAGCACTGTCTCATTGTCAGGATGTTCCAAGTTTGGGACAGCAATGCCAAATCTGAAGACAGAGTTCTCTGCAATTTGTCACACTGTTTGATTTGTGCCAGTATAAAATACTCGAACATGAGGCAAAGACTACAGGGAAGTACTGCCCAGTGTGATATAATCAGGATAATAATAAGGGAGAAATGATTCATAGGGTCTGCTTGTTGAAATAGCCTATCAGAGAAAAGAGAAAGAAGAAATAATTTTTACCAAAAAAGAGAGTAAAATTTAAAGTATCAGCTGAACTCTAAAATAGAAGACTTTTATAAGCACTATTGGTGTAAATAAGCATTTGCATGCAGCAGAAAGAAGAATAGAGACAATGGGATTTGAAAAGGATTATCTTTCTTCGTAAAACGCAACTATGAAGAATGCCCAAATAGAAAGTATACAGAACAAAAGGAGGGGAAACAGGCATAATAGCTCTTCCTAATCCTTATTCAAACTTGAAATTCTGAATATAATGTGAATAGAGAATACACTATAGGATTTCCTGATGACTTGAATGGTTTCATCAGGGGTATCAATATGATATTTCAAAGATGTGGTGTTTGTCTGCATAAGAAACTGGATTCACATATTTTGAAAGATCTTATCAACCTGGAGAAATGAAAGTAATTCTTACTCACCTGCTTCGCTGGCCATTCTTAATTCTTAGCCCTTCCTTTACATTCAGCTACTCCTTTGGCATATTCACACACTTGAGTAAATTGAAAATGTAATGAGAAACATACTTTCTCATGTTGTTT
The DNA here is from genome assembly GCF_000001405.40 of Homo sapiens. Lineage (NCBI taxonomy): Eukaryota > Metazoa > Chordata > Mammalia > Primates > Hominidae > Homo > Homo sapiens. The sequence goes on from NC_000007.14 coordinate 115,440,628, forward strand.
CTAATTGGAAATAACACAAAGTATTTACCATATTATACCTAAATGAAAATTCTCTCTGAATGCATGTTTGCCATAATATAGCCTACTGGCTTTCACAGGTGGGCACTCAGCAAAGAGCCTTTGGCTGTACATTGTGTGGGGAAGAGCAGCATCAACATTTAACTCATTAGGCTCTGCCACCATGCGAACATTTAAATACTTTCTTACCAGAATGCTAAAGTGCTTGCATAGCCCACTGAGGTAATGCATTACTTGTGCTTTCTAGAAATACAGGTTCTTACTAGTGTGCATGGTGAATTAGGGTGGAGGATTGCATAAGGCAAGATACTGACAGGTCCTACTGAATACTACTTTTGGTTAAGAAAGTAAGAAGGAAGTAAGGAGAAAGGGAAGGAGGAAGGGAGGGAGGTAGGAAGGAAACATGGAAGGAAGGAAAGGAAGGAAGGAATGGAGGGAGGGAGGGAGGGAGGGAGGGGTAAGGAAGGGAAGAAAAGGGAAGGAGGATATGGCGAAGGAAAGGAGAGAGCAAGGGAGGGAGAGGAGACAGAAGGGGGAGAAGAAAATGGCTTTATAGAGGAACAGATTTATAGGAATTCTGTCTTTCATAGGCTGATTATAGTCAATCATTTAAAAAGCAAAAATAATCTTTCAGGGGTTCCCTAATTGATCATGTATATTACTTCAATACAAATACCAACTGTAACAAAAATGCAAACATTAATTTGAAGTAAAATTCAGGTTTCATTTGCCTTTTCAGAAGGAATGCACTTTTCTGTTAAGCAGAAAATAATCATTGATTTAAAGAATAGCCAATTCTCCTGATGAGTAACACTTTACTTAGAGGATATTATTATATACTTTATTTACAATGGGGAGAGTAGGAGAGCATTTCAATTTTATAAAATAAGTTTTAAAAATTTACTGAACTATAAATTATAAATTTGTAATACTACTTCTGTTTTGAGTGTAATTTTTTAAATCCATAGTTTAAAACATTAAATTTTAACTCCACCTTTACACTATTGCCTTGCCATGTAGTCTAAATAACCCTGTTTGTTCAAGATAGAAGTATTTGAATTATGCAAATCATTTAATTCTGCTATATTAAGGACTTGATCAGAAAAAGCTAAGCAGCCAAATGTTTATAATTTGTAAAATTCAGTTGATTTTTAATCAGCATTAAAGAAAATAGGCCATCTTGTCTTTCAGAAATAAAACATATAAACAATTATTCACCCCCATTTTATTTTTACTACAATGTATGTATCATGATGAATTACTAACTCAATAGAGGGCAATATAGTATAATGGAAAGACCAAGGGATTTAAAGTCAAAAGACCTTTGTTTGAGTCCTGGTTCTGCAATTTACTAGATACGTGACCTCAGGCAATTGATTTAATCTAGCTCAATGTGTTTCTTGCTGTGTATACCTCTTGTGGGGATAAAATGGGGTAATATCTGTAAACGTCTATTCCACCCAATAGTAGGCATGAAATGGTCAAAAGGCTGTCCTCTGAGCTACAACAACCAGGGAGAGTATTTAACAGCATCACACAAGAGTGTCATGGTGCTGCATAAAGGAGGAATCAGTTTTCAACTTAGACCTCAAAAAGAAAGTTACTTTTCAGCCCAAGAGAGTACAAAATAATCCTCCCCATGCCTCAGTGTGGTAGATAGAACACTGTGGATGAGAGATGAAATACAGACATAAAACAGTGCACCAAGACTGAAGAAAAAAGGAAACACCACTCCTGAAGCATTAGATTAATACAGCAGACAGACATTCTGTAGCATATATGGGAAAGAATAAACCACCACAGAAATTAACTGATAAAAGTGTGGGTACTGGGAATAAACTATGAACAATGGCAACCAAAGAGAGATGATTTACAAATATTCAGAACTGTGAAAAAATACACTTCTTGATATATATGGAAAAAGAACATGATCATAGTAGTGAAGATTAGGTGAATTTGAAAGAAAAAGAATTTATATCATATCAGAAACAACATTATTTGCCTAGTTTGTATGTATGTGTATTTAATGTATGTTTATGTGTGCATATTAGATAGGTGTATCACACTAATGTGTATGTATATTTATTACATATATAATTTATTGGATAGTTAAATGTACAGACTTCATTCCAGACTTCGGTCAATCTCATCTATTATGTTGTCCTCCACTGCAAAGCTGAATTACATAGAAAGTCTGGATGTTGTTATAATATGAAACTGTATTGGAAAGGAAAGGGCTCTACTATACCTTAGAAATTCAGTTAAGATATTAGCGCCTTGATTGCATAAATGTCAGTAAACCACCTTGCTTAGTGAACTCTGTTTTTGTTTGGGGATGTTGCATTGAAAAAAGATCTTAGGAAACTTAGAAGCTTGTTTGAAAATATCACTATTCCGAACTGTATCTCAGCTACTGAAATATCTTTGACCAAAGAATGGTCCTTCTCTGTCTGGAAATGTCTTAGAGCAACACCTCTGAAAGAGATGCCTATGGAAAATAAATCAAGTTTTATCTGTTCATCTTTCGGAGTCAGTCAGCTTAAACACATGATTTAGACAATCAGTAGAATAGAGATGGATGGTAAGAATGTTCTTATATTTAACTTTAGAAAACATAAAGCATTATTTTGTAAACATAAGGGATAATAACCGAAATGTGATGTGAGGATTAACGTGGAATTTTCATGGACTTACGAGTATCTTGGTCATCACCATTATTAAGTTATGACAAGACAGAAGAGGGATCCAAGCTGTGCCTAGAGACTGGGTCTGGGACATTCTGCCAACTGAGAAACAACTAACAACAACAGTAACTCTTCTCCTCTCTCCTGAGTAGGTGTTTAGACTCTGCATTAAATAGAAAATTCATTCATGTTGTATTGTCAACAAAATTATAATAAATCAGAATTTTAATGAAAACTTAGTGTTTTCCTCTTAGCTTTCATCTTTCATTGCAGTGTAGTTTCTTCAGGGAGATAGATATGTTTACACTTAGTAATTATGAGCCTAATTATGTTTTAAAGCACAGGAGGCATTTTAGGAAATTATCTATAGCTTTGTACTTTGGGTATTTTTGTGTTTCCAGGTCTACACAAAAATTTATTTTTACAACAAGTTTCTATAAAAGCTATTCAGGAGATGACGTTTAGGGGCTGATTAACCCAAACAGGCCTAATCCTTTTCCAGAAAGTATTCTATGATGATGATTCCCAGAACTTATGCAGGTGGGATGCCAGTAGCGTGACTGTCTTCATTAGAAAGGAAATGTTAAGAAAGCTTCCCTTTCAGTATTTGAAGAGGTAGACACTCTTCTAGAATTTTTTTACATGCGTTTTTTTTTAAGTTGTAATAGCCCTGTGAAGAAAATATGACCTTTGGCAGATGGAAAAACCAGTGCCCAGAGAGGGCGAGTGACTTACGTGACATCATACAACTGGGCAATGTTGGAACAGTTTTGAACCTAGCTGTTCTGATTCCAGAGTCCCCATTATTAACCTATACATTGGCTTTGAAACGTCCATCTCCTATAGTCTTTTCCTGTGTTCCCTAACAAGTGCCCTCCAGTGAAATCATCTGCTTCTGGAACTGAAATTTAACTTAGCCAGCTGATCCAGGGATTTGCTCTTTAATTGTACTTGCCCACAACATTTACACAGATGTGATAAAGATATTGATCACTTAAGGCCCATGAATATCCAGCTCCACTTCATGCGGCACCAAGTATAGTATTTCTCTTTTCTTTCTGCCTTCTACAGAAGCCTAAGTTGATATTAAAAGGTTGTGGAAACATGAAACCTGCTTTCAGACAATCAGCTTAAGTCATTGGCTGTTCAATGTTATCCTATTTATACCAGTTCATTATATTGTACTTAATATGAAATTACAATGACTCACTCATAAGTGCAGCTTTCTTAGACTTAATTAGACACAGAAGAATTATTAAACATTTGACAGCATATTGTACATTTGATCTTGGTATTGAATTCTCATTGATATTAATGCACACACAATGTAATATAACATGTTCCTCTGACTGTAAGCTTATGTAATTTTTCTCAATTTAGCAGCTTTTTGGATGCCTGATTCTCTTGGCTATTTGGCACATAAATGTTTTCTAACAAGTTAGATGTTGCTCTTAATTAAAGATAAGACAATTTGATCAGGTAAAGATCAATGTAAAGACCATTTCAATTAGGGGAAGGTCATCTAGTTTCTAAATTTCAAGTCTTCCCCTGGCTACAGGAAATATCAGGTGTGTTATTTAACTGTATCAGTTTCCTCATCTCTAAAAAATCAATGTATTAAAAAGATGGTTCCTATCCCTTTCTAGCTCTAAAATGTAATGATTTAACAAATTGATTTTGTAGATTCCATCATAGAGCTGTTTTACTTAATTAGAAATCTGATTTCACCAAATTCAAGTACCTCATAACTCTTGTCAAGTTGTTCATTTTAATAGGCAGAGGATGAGTTCTACTTGTGTTAATCTTATAATTCTTCCTTATTTATTAAGGTCTTGAAAATATTTATCTTGTTAGAAAGACATAATTGAGTAGGAAAATGAACAAATTGAAATTCAACAGCATTTTAAATGAGTAAGATATATATCCAAGTATTTAGTTAGTAAATAAATAATTCTTATACTACAAAACGTATACACAGGAAACCTGTGTAGGTTTCTGCATAGGAACATGTAAATACTTAGCTTAGCTCCTGAACAGTTTCAGCAGCACCACCAGCAGGGCATACTGCCCTACAGAATGGATCTTCTAGTTTAAACACGTTTTCAAGCTTCTTGGATTTATTAGTTGTTGAAAAAATGATTATTAGTAGAAGAAAAATAAATGTTAACTTTCTACCATCTAATATGTAATCATATACAAATGTAGCATAATAAACTGTTTTTTATTACAATTTCATCACCTGAATAGAAATTATAGTGTTAGCACTTTCAAGAGATGGTTCTATCTGCATGCAGAGTGAGGGAGAGTTCGCATAATGGTCTGTAAGGCATATCAAATTTATTCTGTGAGGTAGATAAAGGTCTTTTAAAGGTCTTACTCCACTTGTGGAATGAATTTCTTATCGTGTATGAATTCAGAGTATAACATGTTTTTTTCCCCCTCTGAAATATGGTTTGTTTTCAAAAAGAAGAGAATTACTAAAGAATTTCACTACTGTATAGAAGAGCATCTTTTTAATTAAAGAAAAAATATATCTGGCATGATTATTAGCATTAAAATTCTCTCTATATTATACAAACATTGTTTAAAAATTATACAAAAATATATACTCATGAAAGGAAAGAAATATGAATACTCAAATTTGACCATCAGGAATAAAACTACATTTAGATTTAAAAAAAATGGGTAAGGGGACATAGCACTTTTCCCTCTCTGAAACATACATAAGTGAAAGTTGAAAAGATATGCTAAAAGCATATTTTTCTCTTGCTTAGGATTCATCATCACCGAGTTTCTGTTTGTAATAATGATTTTAAAATATTTTAAAATTTGGCTAAAAAAAATGAGCCTCTTAGGCCTGACATCATGTAAATATTTTTCAATACAATATGTTATTCTTCACAACCATATAAACATTGACATAACTATAATTACTATCATTATTATCTACATATCTGTAATTAAAGAAATGGAGGTGCATAGAGATTGAATACTTGTTTAACAAACCTTACTGAATTCCTTATATGTGCCAGTTATTTCAATAGGCCAGGGAGCAAGTTAATGCCTTGTCCTTAAGAAGACAAAATACTGAGGGGAAAAAAAGCAATATATGTATACATATATATTTAGCTTTTAAATTATATATATATAATTATTATAAGATTTAGCGCTAAGTTCAATATAAAAAGCAATATATATTGCTTTTAATTATATATAATTATTATAAGATTTGGCACTAAATACACTACATTAATTATATTATTCTAATGCTAGTCATGTGAGAAACACAAATTCAAATATTTTAACTTAATATAACAATTTTCACATTTCTTGATGCATGAGAATATAATCAGCATGAGGACAAAATTGTCTGTTTTATTCACTGCTGTGCTCATATTTAGGTAACTGGCACATAAAGATCCTCAAAAATATTTCGTTTCATGAATTAGCATTGGATAAAATCATAACCCTATTTCTTATTTCCCTCACTCATGCTAAAGAAATAAATATGCTTTGAGTGGCATGGCCTTTTGTTCATGATATAGATTTAGTCAAAAGTTGTTGAATAAATGAAGAAATAAACCATGGATAATTTTAACGCCAATTTGGAAGTATTACACTGACTGACAAAACTTACAGATGAAAGTATTTTCCTGTTTATTTTCCACCAAATGTGACTATTTTGCATTATTTCAATGATACAAAAATATATTGCCTTACCCACAAATTATTTTTATTTTCTGTATCTCAAGTTTTATGTCTGTTTCAGGTATCTACAATATTGTAGCTGATATTTATTTTCCTTTTGCATTTTTCTATTATAACTGAAAGTCCTGTGCAGATGAAATATATCAGGCAGTTAAACTAAAAACAAATGGGAAGGAATTACAAAGATAAATCAATAAAGAAGAAATATATTTTGGAGAAATACTATGACATTTTCAGAGAAGATAAATAGATACGGTCTGCTGTAAATATTTACATAGTCTTTTAAAAGCAGGTAATCTGACAAGAAAATGTTTTGAGTTTCTTTTTTACAGAGTTTTTCATAAAAGAGAGTTTATAATAATTTAAAATTACAGTTCAGGATGAAATGCCTCAATTGAAGAAGGCATCGATGGGAAGTTTAATTACTTGTCCAGGATAATATAGCTGGGGATAAAACATACTTCTGCTTTCCCAGTTTAAGAGTATAGCTACCTAGCTTCCTTTGGGTTTATAAGACTGTTCCAGAAGATAAAAGATGAGGCTGCCATCTGGAAATATGGGTTTTTGTATTCACTACCTGAAGTCTGGGCTCACCTTTATGCTCCTTGGAACAATTAAATTCTGTGAGTCAGTCAAAACAAACACTTTCAAATGTAAAACATTTACTATATCATCAAACAATGTTGCTGTAAATGTCCGTGTTTGTTCTCTTGGATACACATGCATGTGTGTGTTCCTCTACAGAGTATGTCAACAATTGAAATCAAATATCGATATCTGTACATTGTCATCTAAAATGGCTTTCCAATTCATACTTCCACTACATTGTTTCAAAATTCTAATTTCTTGTACCCTTTACTGACACTTCGTATTAGCACACTTTTTTTTTCACAAATCTTACATTCAAAAAAGATCAATTGGTACTTAAATTTACATTTTTCTGATTACAAGTGTGGTTAAACAATATTTATCAATCGGACATGTTCCCTCTTCAGATAATACTCTGTTCTCATCCTTATCTTATTTATTATTATTATTATTATTATTTTGAGACAGAGTCTCACCCTGTCGCCAGGCTGGAGTGCAGTGGTGCGATCTCCGCTCACTGTAACCTCCGCCTCCCGGGTTCACGCGATTCTCCTACCTCAGCCTCCCAAGTAGCTGGGATTACAGGTGTGTGCCCCATGCCCAGCTAATTTTTGTATTTTTAGTGGAGACGGGGTTTCATCATGTTGGCCAGGATGGCCTCGATTTCCTGACCTCGTGATCCACCCGCCTCGACCTTCCAAAGTGCTGGGATTAGAGGCGTGAGCCACCACGCCTGGCCCTCATCCTTACTCTTAACTTTTATTGTCTTTTTTCTTATTAGTAGTTATTCATATAATTTGAATGTTAATTGCTTTATTTGTTCCATTTAGTTCAAATATTTTGGATAGTCTATTACTTCCATGGCATTTTTATTAAAATACATAGTTACATGTGTACATATTTTTATTTGTTAAGCTTTTGTGCATAGATTAACCCATTTCAAATTTAAAACATAGTTTTCTAGATTATTACCTAAGAAGTTATAGTTTTGTTCTAAAAAAGGTGTTTGTCAATTTCATATAGGCTTTATTAGGAATTTTGATGTGTACATATTTCCATGTGGGTGAACAATACCATTTATTATGTAACTTATTTTGACAGCCCATTGTTACAACCTACTAAATTTTCATATGTACATGAGTTAACTTCTTTCCACATTCCCATATATCATCTAATTTTTAATCATTACTTATGTAAACTGAAGTTTTATTTATTACTTCATCCATTAATGCTATTCACATCCCTATTCTACCCCTTACAACTATATTTCATTTGCAGCAGTATTCTCTGAGAACTCTGTAGTGGTAATCTTACTGAGTCTCTGTATTTCTGAAAATGTCTGAATTTCAATCTCATTGAATAGTCATTTGGCTGGGTTTATGGTACTAGTTAAAATATTCACCCTCAGCTTATCCTGCCCATTCTTCTTAAGCATTGTTGATGATGGCAGTTTGAGTTTCATATATTTGTAGGTAATATAGATATTTTTCCTCTTCTCTCACACTGAATAAGTTCTAAGGTTTTTCCTTTATTATTATTATTTTTTTACTTTATCTTATTTAAACTCGTTTGTTTTTGTGAGGGTTTTCTTTTGAAATTTATTTTTATTGAGTCCTTAATAGACCTCATCAATCTCAAAACTTGTATATTTCTTCAGTTTTAGGAAATTCTGCTTTCTTTCTCTTCATTGTATCTATTCTTTCTTTCTCAAACTCCTACTGAAATGATTTTAAAAACTCTCAACCCATCCTGCATGAGAATTTTTTGAATGTCATATATGCATATTTTTATGCTGTAGTCTGAGAACACTTCTTGCCTCATTCAACCAATAAGCTAATTTTCCCTCATCTAACTCCATTCTGTTATTCATTTCAACAACTGAAGTTGTATTTTGTACTAAAAATTACACTATGTATTTCAGTGACCTCTGCTAATTCTTTATTTCTCTCAGAATTTTAATACAATTTAAAGTCCTCTACAGCTTACATTTATTAACTCTGCTTACTTTGTTGTATTATTTTTTGAGTGGATCATCACTCACTCATGATGTTGGCTGATGTGGTTTGGCTGTGTTCCACCCAAATCTCATCTTGAATTGTAGTTCCCATAATCCCTACATGTTGTGGGAGAAACCCATTGAGAGGTAATTTAATCATGGGGGCAGATACCCTCAAGCTGCTCATCTGTTCTTGTGATACTGAGTGAGTTCTCACAAGATCTGATGGTTTTATAGGGGCTTTCCTCCTTTTGCTCAGCACCTCTCTTTGCTGCCACCATGTGAAGAAGGACATGTTTGCTTCAACTTCGCCCATGGTTGTAAGTTTCCTGAGTCTTCCCCAGCCCTGCGGAACCGTGAGTCAATATCTCTTTCTTTTATAAGTTACCCAGTCTTGGATGTGTCATTATTAGCAGTGTGAGAATGGACTAATACATTGGCTTTCCTTAATTTTATTAATTTTTTTATTACACATACTTTTTGGAGTTGAGATGCTTTTCTAGATTCTGTCTGCACTGCCTGCTTAGTGGAGGGGCAGAGGACATATGGCTTTTAATTTGATATGTTTTTAGCGGGAGTAGCCATGGGGCATGTCCACAGCTGAGGCTAGTTTTGTGGCTTGCAGATTCTCCCCACTTCTCCCAAGTGTTGCCATCTATCTGGGTCCTTGTTCTCAGAGCAAAGTCCCCCTCCATTGCCTCCATGTTAAGATAATCAAGACATGCTATTGCTGCTGCTTATCTCAAGATGTACAAGAGACTGGCTACTCTGCCTGTGTCAACTCAATTAATCTTGTTATTTTCCTCTGTGTCTTCTCTTTCGGAGATGAGTATCCACCATTTCTGGGCAAGAAGCATCCTTGCCACATCTTCCATTTTTGCTGTAATAGCATCCTTCATCGATTCTGAGCTGTGATTTTATTGTTTATTTATGTTTCATCTGCTTTTATGTTTTCAAGATTCATTAGTCTATCATGGTGTCTCCTTCTTATTTTCACAATCATTAGTCCATCATAGTGTCTCCTCCTTATTTTCCAAAATGATTATACATTTTTGGAAATACATATTTTCTCTAATCTGTATGGTTTTGAAGAAGGTGGGGTAAGCCATAGAATGTGTATTGTGTATTTTCTTGAAAAGAATATTTTATTGTTCATTATATTTTTTCCAATATGGCTAGTAGTTATGTTTACAATTCCTTTAAGGGAAAATATTTATTTTTAACATTTCCTTGAAGAACATAGGGTGGCTTAAATTCACAATAAAGTGTAAATATCTGATATAATCAGAGTTAAAGAGGACTGTTCCTCAGTTACTTGCTATTTGAACTTAAGCAATTTGCATTACTACTCTGAGCCCATATTTCTCATATATAAAATTGTGATGATTGCCTTATTGTAATAGTTTCTCCCTGATTTAGAATATTTCAGAAGCCCTTTCAAACTATTTATGGAGAAAGAACAGTTTTTATTTTTATTAATACATAATAGATGTGTATATTTTCAGGGTATATGTGATATTTTGATATTTTCATATAATATGTTATTGTCAAATCAGGGTATTTGGGACATTCATCACCTTAAACATTTAGTTTTTAATGTTGCTGTTGTTTGTTTTTTAATTTCTAGTCTCTCTCAGATGCATACATTTGTAAAATACCAAGTTATACACTTGGATTTCCTGGTAATACTAAACTTCAATAAAAGTTTCTAAATGCTTTCTCTCATGTTTTCTATTTATCTCATTGAGGACCAGTAAGAAAATTTGCAGATAGGCTTCAGTTCACAGATCACACTTTGAATGGGTCTGTTCTCTTGGACAAAGTGCCATCTTCTTATAGTGGAAATGCAGATGGAGTACTCTGGTTTGTGTTTGCTTACATTCTTGCACACTACTGACTGCCTCCCACTCTCTGCTTCATCAGGCTATCTGCAGGTCCCAGAAGATGATGCAGGTCCTCACATCATTGTGCCTGTGTACAGATTGCCTAGAATTATTTCTCTCACTTGCTGAAGCAGTAATCTCCCATGTTATTTGCTTTTTTCAGAACTGAGCTCAAGCCCCATTTCATTTTAAGAACTTCCTGACTTTGTGAGACAGCAATGGACCCTCCTCCTCTCCAGTCCCTTAGTTACACTATCCTTTACCAGCCTCTATGAGACCACTGTGGTTTTATCTATGTTTGCTTATTGATCCTCCTCCTATCAGAGTGTTAACTTCCTTACTGCTTATGTTCTTGTTTCTTTGTATCTTAAGAGCATAATGGCATAGTACCTGGCACATGGAAAGTGTTTGACATGGTTTGGCTCTGTGTTCCCAGGCAAAATCTCATCTCGAATTGTAATCCCCATAATCCCCACATGTCGGGGGTGGCACCTGGTAGGAAGTGATTAGATCATGGGGGCAGTTTCCCGCATGCTATTCTCATGATAGTGAGTGAGTTCTCGTGAGATCTGATGGTTTTATAAGAGTTTGATAGTTCCCCCTACACATGCATTCTTCTTTGTCTTGCCTGCCGCCATGTAAGATGTGTTTGCTTCCCCTTCTGCCATGTATGTAAGTTTCCTGAGCCCTCTCCAGCCATGCGGGACTGTGCGTCAATTAAACCTCTTTTTAAAAATACATTACCCAGTCTCGGGCAGTTGTTTATAGCAGTGTAAGAATGGACTAACAGTGTTTCATAATTACATATTAGTAATAAGTTTAAATAGTAATTATTTGCATTTATTACTAAATATGTAATTATGAAACACTGTATTTAATATTTGCTTTAGTACATAACTCGCCAGTATTTTAATTTTTCTTCTATAGATTCAGTGTGCCTTTTTCAGTCAGATGACTCCTGTTTTTACTAAATTCTGAGAAGTTATTAGCCATTATTTTGTCAGCTATTGTCTCTTCCCTAGTCTTCCTCTTCATTCCTTTTGGAACTCCTGTTTGATGTGTATTGAACTTTCTCATCATTTATTCTCGGAGTTTTCATGACATCTTTATTTTCTATTTCTTCATCTTTTGTTCATCAATATGTTTGATTTCCTCAGTACGCCAAACTCATCTTCCAATGAATTTATGTTTTTTTAACCACGTGCTGAATTTTTAATTTCAAAAGCTACGTTTTTTAAATTTTCAGACTTTCTGCACACAATAAAGTCTTTTTATAACATATAAGAGAAAACTCAACAATCTAATCATATTAAATATAGAACTGGTTTTTTTGAGAAATATGTTATGAATTACTGTCCTCAACATAGGCACTAAAACTGTCTCCTAGTACAAAGCATATATCTATTTCCAATATCCTCATAGAACATTCTGTTAAACTCCTCTTCATCAATTTCACTTTGAAGTGCTTATTTTGGGCACTCAAGTATTTCCCTTTCATATTTTTGATTTGCTAAGTAAAAATTAAATTATTATATTTTATATTCACTGCTTTGTGTTTGGTATGGAGGAGTTTATGATGTCAGTTCACCTTACTCAATTTCTCTATCAGGTGAACTGTGTTTATGCTAGGTTGGGAATTTATCCCTTGCTTTCTGCTCAGTGTGAGGGCCAGAGCCAGGCCAAGTGTTCTGACCCAATATTCCCAGACTTTGACATCCTGACCTAATAATTCTGGACTTTAGACATTCAAATGAGGCCTATATTCACTCTATACTGAATTTCACTCACTCATACTATGGGATTATTGAAGTACAGACTGGCATTAGGTCTTTAGGGAATTCTCTCTCCTTTTCTAAACACATTTCAATGTAATATGTTTAAAATCATTTGCACAGCAGTAAGTTTTCTAACAGCTGGCAAGTATGTACATCAGAATTCTGCTTCTGGAAACAAGTGCCATTCACAAATTTTGTAATTAAATGCACTGGCTTGAATGGTATCTCTGATATAATAAATGAGAGCTTCCAATCAGGGAAAAACATTGACTTCAAAGTTTGTTTTTCATTAGAGCTAATATAGTTTCACTGTTTTCATTTCTATTGTGTGTTAAAATGGTACTGAAGTAACTTCAGAGGATAACCGCACTGTTGAAGGAAGATTACAGAAGTTTCTTTCCCTACTAGTTAAGAAGAGTAACAAAGAAAATTAGGTAAACAGATGAAAAACGAATAGCGTTTATATTGAGATAGGGTCACAAGTGCATACCATAAATGGTGACATGTGCTATCCAGGGGTAGAGAAAAAGAAGATATCAAATAACACAAGCAGCTACCATTTCTCCACCTCAGAAGCTAGCTATGACGGAGGACAATGAGTTACCATTATCTTGAACATTTTTGTTAATACCCTACAAACAACTTCAGGGAAAGCAGACTGTAGGGCATGGGTAGGAGTCCAGAAGAAAACACTTATGATTAACATGAGAAAATAGAAAACCAATAAAAACAGGAAAGTTGTCTCACTATTCTTCCTAGATGGAAAGAAGGTAGGGGAAAAATGCTGGATAATCTGATTTGTCTCTTCAACTTCAAACAAGCAATTTTAAGAATAGGTGGAAAAAAATGAGGATCTGAGAGAGGGCAAATGAGGTGTAGGGAGAATCAAATAAAACTTCACTTGACATTTTACTCCTCCAAAGAGAAGTAATAATGACATGAGCCAAAACATTGAATTCACCTGCAAGAAGGAAATGAGTGTTAAAAACTCCTACAGAGGTAGGAATGAAAGGAAATTTTCTTCGTTAGATAAAGGTTATGTTAATCTAGCTCCTCATAGAAGAAAACAGATGTCAACACAGGATTAAAAGTACAAGTATTTTATTAAATGTCTGTATGAAAGAACAAGGAAAGGGAGCCAGGGAGCTGGGAGAGCTGTCAGGCCAAGAGGCAAGTCAGACCCTATGTAAAGGAAAGAAGGTTGTGTGGAAGCATCTGAGACTCTTAGGCAGTTTAAAGAAGATTCAGCAAGATTGTCAGGGATTCCTTAAGCCAAAGTCAGCCATCAGTGGAGTACCATGTGTTCTAAGAATGGGCCTAACCTAGTTTCCTGCCATGCTCAGTCATTGGCTTGAAGCAACCCATTGAAAGCATGGCCTCAGAGCAAACACAGTAATAAGTCTCAGAGTGTGGCCACTGGGGCCTTTGGTCAATCACCCTCCATTTCCTATAACTGTAAGGCTTCAAAGTACATTTTCATGGCTGCCATAAATGCATAGGCATAAACTGCAGCAAACATCATAGTTGACAGTGGAAAAATAGAAGCATTCTCAAACTTAATAGGAAGGTACATTACATTGATGATTTGAGCCAATGCAATATGATAGGTAAACTAGAGGGGAAAAATTGGAAAGGAAAGGCACAACTGTTGTACTTTGTAGATAATATAGTTGTTTATAAAATCCAAGTGAGTCTATTTATAAATTCTGAACACTACTAGTCAGACAATTCAGCAAGTTAACTGGGTATGAGGTTAACATGAAACAATCTTGTATAAAACCAGAACCAAAATTTATCAATCCTCCAAATGAATAAGCAAAAAACAAAAACAAAAACTTGCAAAGAGAAAGCATACTATTCCAATTCAATCAGAAAAAAAAAAGCCTGACATTTCTAGCTATTGGTGAGGGTTTAGGGAAAATTGATACCCACAGCAATGCTGGTCAGAGGGTAAGCTGGTATAATCACTCTGGAGAGCAATTTAAAGCTGATATGTGGGAAAGCTGAATATGTACATAGCCCAATTCCCAGCAATTCTACCTCTAAGAACAAGTGCAGAGAAACTCTTTTGCTCATGAGCCTGAAAGCACATTAAAGATATTTTCTGAGTTATGAGTAATATGTAAGAAAAATTGCAACCATCCCAAATCAGTGCTATTCAAAAAGTGCATAGTATTGCTCTGTGAACAGTTTGTTACCAATGTCTTGCGAGATAAGGGGCTTGCTTCAGAGGCAAATCAATTACCTCATTACACATACTCTGGTTTAAACTGCCTCATTTCCATATACTGTTTTGTTTTGTTTTGTCTTTTAGCATGGCTTTCTGGATGAAGGAAACAATAGATTGATATGCATTGTGGTACAAGCTTCTTATCTCATTACTGACCAGGTCTAAACAGTTTGCAAACCATATACTTTGAGTAGCACTGACTCGCACAAATACAAAAAGAGGAAAAATTAAAAATTATAGAATCTTTATACCCTGTAGTAGCATACCAAGGAGGAAGGTGGACGTGAGGTGGTGGGAGTGTTCTGCCTAGGTGCAAACAAAAAGGGGGAGAATTGTCTGTAGAGAATTTAACAACAATAAGACCAACAAAATGTTGGCAATTCTAAACAATGCCAGTGATAAAATACCACTCTCTTCCTGGCAGATAGTTACCACCCACCCTTGGCTTCTTCCACTCTTACCATGGCTTACCCTGGTATAAAAAAAAATACCATATACAAGTTAAGTAGGGGCCAGGCACAATGGCTCATGCCTGTAATCTCAGCACTTTGGGAGGCCAAGGCAGGTGGATCACTTGAGGTCAGGAGATCAAGACCATCCTGGCCAGCATGGTGAAACCCTGTCTGTATTAAAAATACAAAAATTAGTCAGGTGTGGTGGTGCACACCTGTAATCTCAGCTGCTTGGGAGGCTGAAGGAGGAGAATCACTTGAACCCAAGAGGCAGAGGTTGCAGTGAGCCCAGATCGCACCACTGCACTCCAGCCCAGGCAACAGAGCGAGACTCCGTCTCCAAAAATCAACCATGGAAACAATGCATAACCATGTACAAGTTAAATGAACTATAATTATATGTATATACATTTAAGAAATGTCAAAAATTCACACTAAGCCATTTCTGTATGTTTGTCTTATAAATATGTTATAAAACTATAAAACCGTGGACAACTAAACTAAATAGCAACTTCTTGTTAGTGGAAAGTAATGGAGGGAAATAAGATAGGGAAGAGGCACAAAAACGACTTCAACTGAGTTTATAATGCATTATTTTTTAAATGATTTGAAGCAAATATGACAAATGAAAAGATATACACTGAAAATTACTTTCAAACTTGTTTTCTTACAAAATACATATTTACTTTTGAATGCAATGCACTGTTTCAAGCTTTTTTTCACCATGATCCATATTTCTTTACTTATTCTTTTTACAAAAATTATTATTAGATATAAATAAAAAGAGAAAGAAAACAACAGTTCATGGCACCTGAATTCTCCTGCCATGATTATTATTATTCTTTCTTCACATTAGTAGAGTAACTAGTAGCTATTTCATAATTATGAATTCTACTAAAAATATTAAGTTAGAAGTTTATCATACACTAACAGTTTTCACCAAAATTTTCAAGCAAAAAGTCCTTACTGTAACACAATAACATATCACCTCACACCTGTTAGGTTGGCTATTAGATAAGTAGAGAGAGAGAGAGACATAAATAGATATATAATAGGTAGATAGATAGATTTGTTGGCAAGGATGTGGAGTAAAGGAAAGTGGAAAATTTGAACACTCTTGGTGGGAATGTAAGTTGGTGTAGCCAGTATGAAAGTTACTTTAAAAGTTAAAAATATGACTACTATATGATTCAGCAATCCCACTTCTGAGTATATATCCAACGTAATTGAAATTAGAATCTTAGAAAGATAACAGCGTCTTCATTTCATTGAAACATTATTTACCACAGCCAAGACATTAAATTCACCTCAATATTTATTCAACATATATATCAATAAAGAAAATGCAGAATATATATAGTCTTCAGGATTAAAAAAGGAAGGAAATCCTGCCACTGAAAATGTGGATAAACCTGGAGGACATTATGCTAAATGAGATAAGTCAGACACAGAAGGGCAAATGCTCCGTGATACAACTTACCTGAGGAATTTAAAATAGACTCATAGAAGCAGTGAGCAGAATGGTGGTTGTCAGGGGCTGGGGCAAGTGTGAATGGGGAGGTATTAGTCAAAGGCTACAAAGTTTCTCTTATGTTAGATAAACAAGTCCTAGAGATATACTGTATGGCATAGTAAATATAGTTTAAAAACACTGTATTGTCTACTTAAAAATCTGCTCAGAGTGGATCTTAAGTTATGTGTTCTTGTCCCCCCTGAAACTTAACAGTAGTAATACATAAAGATGGCAGGAGAAAACTTTTAGAGGTGATGGACATGTTTATGGCATAGATTGTAGTGATGGTTTCACAGATGTATACTCATCTCCAAATTCATCAAGTTGTATACATTAAATATGTACAGGTTTCTGTATGTTCATTATATCATAATGTGATCTAGAAATCACTAGTGAAAGTATGTTTACTCTTATTAGGCACTGCAGAGGAATATTTTGAAGCCATTACAAACATATTTACAGTAATTTTTTAAGATATAGAAAAATGTAATGCATTGCTTTGAATGTCCAAAAGAAAAGTTAATATTTAAAAAGCTACAATAAGATGTAGTTTTAAGTGCTAGAAGGAAAGAAAATTGAGTAATATTGTATATAGTTTCTTTTTATAATATAGATAAAATTATAAAACCTATGGTTACTCCAAAGAAATAGTCAAGATATTATCCTTTTTCAAATAGAAATATATATGAACTATCTGATACTTTCCATTATTGTTTTATTTAAATCACATGCAATTAAATAGTAGATAGCAAGTAGAGCTTTGTATTTTAATTAAGTATTATTAAGTTCCCATATAATGAAATTGGCAGATGCTCTCTGTTTGGGGGAGAGTGTTTAGGAATTAAAGCAACTGAGAAAAGGAATGAGGAATCAAACATAATGTGAGATATAAAAGCATCATATGACATCTATTATTAATCCATTGTTTTTCTAATACTGCACTTATAAACCTGAGTACTGACATTAAAGCTAAACTAATAAAAATGAGTAGAGAAATTCTTTTATAAGGAATGTAGTTTGGGGGTGATTTTTAATGAAAGAAGCTTTTTAAAAATTCTAAAAGTCATATTATGCCAGCTTCACAAAGTTATTTCAATTTTCTGATTTTTAAAAATCCTTAGGGTGCTGTTTTTAAAATACTATGTCTGTTCTTTTTGTTCTCTTCCATTAGATAAAAGGGACTTATTCTCAAATGCAGGTAAAACAAAATAGAGCACTATCATTTTTTTATTTAATAATGCAGATTAGATTTAAATGTACAGCTGAAATCTGTTTAAATTGATTATTTTCAGAATGGAATGCTACAATTTACCTATTTAGTGTTATTAGAATATTCTTACTGCTAAAATGCTAAGAAAATAGTTTTAATTTATTCTTCCTTTCAGTGTTAAAAAACCTGCTTATTGGTGCATTTAAAAAAAAATATCATAGTTTTCATTTTCCAAAAGGACGTCAGTGCAGAGCCACATAGAACCCGAAGTACCATTATCATGGCTATTATTAGCCTAAAAAAGAGGAATATAAATAATAATGCCAACCTCGGAAAAAAATTATCGAGTTAGTCAAGTGCATTTTTGTCATCTTCAGTTATTCCCACTCCAAATTTTAAGTGTCAGAGAGCTAAAAAACATTCTCCCTTCTTCAAAAGGAAAGAGCAACATTTCCTTTGAAGTTACTTGAGATATACAATGGAGCGAAGATCCAGAAAACAGTCCCCCCTTCACTCTGGCTCTATTCCTGCCCTCACCAGTGCAAGGCAGTGAGGATGCGTTTTGGCTCTTCGTTACCTACACTTAGAGAATATCCTTCAATGGGATTAGTGATGAAAGACTTAAGATGTAAATTCCCAGGACATTCTATAAAAATGAGTTTCAGTCAAAATGCTATTAACAAGCTGGTAGTCATTTTCTGCTGCCTAAAGCTCACAAGCAACCAGGGAAATTAAAATGGGTAGAAGGGATCCAGTAAAGAACCCTTCAGGGAGCTGAGGAACTGTGGGAATATTGAAGTGGAAGATCATGAATGGAGCACAATCATAAAAATAATGATAATCATAGGAATAATAGCTAACATATAGTGTTTAATTTGTGCCAGGTATTGTTTTAAGTGCTTTGCATGAATTACTTAATCCTCACCACAATCCTTTGAAGTAGGAAGTATGATTATCCCCATTGTACAGGTGAGAAACTGAGGCATGGAAGGGATGATTAACCTACCAAAGGTCACAGCTTGTAGGGCTCTTTCGGTGGAGGCCTGTAGGGACCAAATACTGTAGTTATTAGAAATAAGATTTAAACAAAGCAGACTTTCATATTTCCGTGTGTGTGTGTGTGCATATATATATATATGTAAATTTTTGGTGTGTTTATAGATGATAATGATAATCACCAAATAATATATGTTTTCCAAGAAAATTAGTGATACTAATAACAGCTATTATTATTAATAATAATTGTTTTTTGAGACAGATTGTTGCTCTGTCACCCAGGCTGGAGTGCAGTGGCATGACCTCACCTCACTGCAACCTCTGCCTCCTGGGTTCAACTGATTCTCATGCCTCATCCTCCTGAATAGTTGGGATTACAGGCATACTGCCACCATGCCTGGCTACTTTTTTGTATTTTTAGTAGAGACAGGGTTTCACCATGTTGGCCAGGGTGGTCTCAAGTTCCCGACCTCAGGTGACCTGCCTGCCTTGGCCTCCCAGAGTGCTGGGAATATAGGCGTGGGCCACTGCGCCCGGCCCTAATAACAGCTATTATTAAGGACAGGCTATTTGAGAGGTACTGTTTTAAATGCTGTGCATGTATTATCTAATTCAATCCCCCTGATAATTTTTAAAGAAAAATAATAGTATTATCCCCTTTTCATATATAAGGAAACAGAGGAGATGGAAGTTAAGTACTATGTTTAAGGTCACACAGAAGGCAGAGTATCCAGGATTGAAACTGAGGTGTTCTGGCTCCAGAGCTGTGGCTCTACACTGATATGTTATAGATTATATATTCTTGACAATAAAGTAAGATGAGAAACCATTTTTTATTGCATAAAAACAATAATAATCATGTATGTGACTGATAATTTCTCCTTAATTACTTTAAAGAATAATGAGTACTATGTATATTAGTTGACTAATTTTACCATAGAATTTGATTAACAGCATAAAACTCTATTCAAAAAAAGTCAGTCTTTATGGTTTGCAACTCATTCATCATATCTGCCTGCTTACAAAACAAATTCTAAAATTTGGAATACTACTTCAATAATAATGACATTTCCTGATATTTGAAAGTAACTTGGATCAATCATAGACCTCCATAATAGCTATCTACTGGTTTTCTCCAAAAGTAACAGTAACCCAGATAAAGTTCCTCCTTAAAGCAATTCCCAATTACCCTGCCCCATATTATTACTTTAATACTTGAAGTCATAGAGCGATTTTGACTCTTGACAGTCATTTCTAGTTCTTTCAATTTCATGATAAATTCTTTAAGGATAAGACCCATGCTTCATCATTCCTCTGCCATTTTAAATAAAGTATATTCTATGTAGTCAGGGAATTATTTTTTTAATCAATTAGTGATTGGTTGATTGGTGCAAACCAGGGATTATAAGCTAGTATACCCAGGTTAAATTGTTCTACAGTTATTTGGCACCTACTGTGATTCTCAAGCTTATCTACACATGAAATACTTATTTAATCAATTTTGGATGGGATTCAAATATAGACATTTTTTCAAAGATCCCAACGGATTTTTAATGTGCAGTAAAGCTAGAGAACCACAGGGTTCAGGGATATGAAAAGACCCTGAGGTTGATGACTGACCTGCCAAATACTGCAAATAGATGAAATTAATTTATCCGTTGATTTGTCACATCCTCAATACACAATTATTTCAAATGATCAATGCCCAACTGAGGCATTAGCTCAAACATTAGTCAAAGTACCTTGTTTCTAGAGATCCATATCAGAATAGCGCAAAATCCAGTACATGTGCAGTGGGATCCATGTGTCCCCAGATCTCCTTGGGGATTGCAGGGGCCAGATGTCTAATGTTTTTCTAGTCAACATTGGCTCCAAATTCCTGCTCTGTCATAGTATTTCCATGTATTGACATTTTCATTCATTAACTCACATATGGATCCCAGGCTTTTTTGTTTGTTTAACACATGTCAACACCATCACCACTTAAAGAAGGCATTGGATTTGCTATGTGGACTTCACAGGAAATTTAGGAAGATGGAAGGACATTCACAAGATGATAAGAAAAGATTGGAATTGAAAAAGTTAGTCATTTTTTTTTTAAATTTCTTTAAGCTGTTTTTCTCCAGTTGACTCTAGCCTCCCTGACTCTCTCTGCTTCTCTCTTTTCCTTAGATTCCCAGTAATGTTGAGATATATTCCTTATACTTAGGAAAAGTAACTTACTTGTAACTGACAAATGTAGCTCTGTCCTTTTCTTTGAATATTCAAGGATTTAATAAACGTTTCTAAACAATAGGTCATCTTCTCTGGCTGTTACCATTTCTCTTTCTCCTACCTAAATATAAACAAAAAGAGAACAGTATAGAGATATACTTCTCCAAATCTCAGACTTTTTATGTGACTTTCCATTCCTCTCCCATCTATTAACGGGAAGAAGCAGTTACACTCAACTTTGGAATAAATAAGAGATTTTTTAAAAATCTTCATTAACACATCAATTATGTTTAATGTAATTTTTATATAGTTAAATTGCATATTTCTTGGAAATAAGCAGTACAACTTGATAATTTTTTATTTGCTCACTAATATTTTGCCAATTAGCAACTGTGAGCTCTAACTTCAGTCATTTGTAGCTTTTTCATTTGGTGGCAACTGATCAGCCTTAGGTCATCTGCTATTACTAAATGATATCTGAAACAAACTCACCTGTTGCTAAAGAAAGTACACAAGTTGTATAATAAGCTGCCACTGTTTTATAATTGTAGAGTAGGGAGACTGTATACAGCAATCTCATCATATTGGACTTACCTAGCGTTGTCATGATGACAAGTAAACTTTGTGTATGGATACCCTGCAAAACCATACAGTCTGGCCCTCTCAGATCTAATTATTGGTCCAAGATACCATCATTTCTCTTCTGCATTTGAAATAGCATCTTAATAGGTCTTCCTGCTCCTACCCTTGTACCCCATTATTAATTTACAAAACACCAGCAGCATAATCCATTTAAAACACAAGTCAGATCTTGTCATTACATGGCCCTGAATGCTCTAATGGCTTCCTATCTCACTTGAAGGAAAAGCCTTAGTCATCTCTCACCTCTCTCATCTTGTCTCATCTCATCTCATCTCATCTCATCTCATCTCATCTCATCATCTCATCTCACCTCATCTCACTCTTCCTTCTGCTGATACGCTCAAGCCACACAGCCCTTCCTCTCCCTCAAACATACCGGATGCAGTCTTAAGAGATATATGAATACTACCTTTTCTAACACTATGATGATATAATAGTAGGTGCTATTATAATTGCAAAGTAATGGAGGAAATTCACTTTGAAAAATATAGTTATGTGCTCCAAACCATACAGCTATTGTGTGACACAGCAAACTTGAGCATTCTAGCTCCAGGTTCAAATTTAAATATATATATATTTATTTAAATAAATAATTATATATTTAAATAAATATATATAAATAATTATATATTTAAATAAATATATATAAATAATTATATATTTAAATAAATATATTTAAATATATTTATATTTAAATAATTATATAATATTTATATAATTATATAAACTATAATTATATATATTTAAATAATTATATAACATTTATATAATTATATAAATTATAATTATATATATTTAAATAATTATATAACATTTAATTAAATAAATATTTAAATAAATATATATTTAAATAAATATAAATAAATATTTATATATAAATAAATATATATCTATATCTATCTATCTATATCTATCTATCTATATATATATATATGTCACTGTCACAAAACTTGCCACTTTAGGTCTATTCTATTTCTTAATTCATTATTTCAACATGTGAGCACCCATTCACAAACTTTTATTTTTCTTGGCAATGCCATTAATTTTTAGTGGGTCAAAATAGTAGAATCAGTGGTATCCTTGGATTAATCAGGTACTGTCTCTCAGGATCAATTTCCTTATCTCTGAATGGAGTGATAATATATACTATATTGGCTTTTGGTGAAGAACTGAATGAAACACCATATATAAGACACATGGATGCTCAATGATTGAGATCAATTATTATTTTAAAAAATATAATTTTTAGGTTTCCTAATCACAAAAATATAATAGACTTTTATTATTTGGGAAAATGTAGATAAAAATCACTTTTAGTAACACCACCACCAGAAATATCTATGTTAGCAATGTGAAGTATTTTATTTCATAGATTTTTTCTATGCATTTTATATACAATATGTATTTTGATAAATTTTGATTATACCTGAGAAATTTTGAACAGGGAAATGATTCACATCTACCTTAACTAGAGGTGCTTAAAAAAGAACTCTGGTAGACATTTTTTCATAGAGGCAGCTTGTTACAAAGACACCATAATAAACTTGTGAGGTCTTCTAGGGATTCCATGAACAAATAAAGCTGTGTCCTTTCATACTGACTAGTTGGCCTATGTAAGAAGGGATGGGCTAGACTCTTGCTCGCTAATCACTAGCCCCAAATATGTGCAAACAGAAAACAAATCTTCTCAGATTGGCTGTAGTTTGGTATTCCTCTCCTCTCTTCTCTTTCTCTTCTATCAAGCCTGCTTTGTCTTTCGTTGGATAGAATCAACCTGTGGGTTCATCTCCTTTGCCACTGAGTAAACAGCATGCTGGTAATTAACTTTATATCTTGACACATTCATTTGCTTTTTGTCTATTTGATTTGTCCTAGAATTATAGTGTTAAGTAACATCTACCAATGCTCATGTTTTTATTTTTCTTTTTGCATCTCCAATAGCTTTTAATTTATATGATTAGTTGGCATTATTTTGTTACATAAAAGTTTTTAAGTATTATAAGGACTGCCTAAAAGATAATAGCACCTTTCATTAAATATAAAATTTATTTATTTTTATGGTTTTCACCTTGAATTCTATTTTGTCTGACATTTGTATTGCCATCTTCCATTTTATTTTGTTCCTCTGCATCTGATCTACTTTAACCATTCTTTCAGTTATACTTATTGTGTAATTTGTAGTTTAGAATATCTTTAAAGATAACATTCATTAAGGATTTTCATA
Organism: Homo sapiens; assembly: GCF_000001405.40. Classification (NCBI taxonomy): domain Eukaryota; kingdom Metazoa; phylum Chordata; class Mammalia; order Primates; family Hominidae; genus Homo; species Homo sapiens. Next base: position 115,464,761 of record NC_000007.14, read on the forward strand.
TTCTTTAACTTTGAATATTTTATACTCTTGTTTTAGTGTGTAAATTGAATATAGTTGCGTGTAGTTTTATTGTCCCCTTTGCCTCAAGAAGTATGTATTCTTTGCTTTTAGTTTTTATTAAAATTTGACAAATAATTATCTCATTTTTAATTTAAGTAAGTTGGACTCCTCTCACATCAGTGATTCTTTATTAATGTCATGAAGGGTTATAGATCACAATTATTACTATTATTATTTTATCTTTAAAATCCATAACTTCTACTTCAAATGCCATTTTACCATATATTTGATGTTGTCCCCACATCAAAACAACTATTTATACAATCTATTCATTTAACTATTAACATTCACTAAAGTTTGTATGGCCCTAATATTCTCATTTTTAGATTTGTGAGTTCTTCTATTTCATTTTTTATCTTTTCATACCAAAACCTAGTTAAGCTTGGATGCAAGATTTTCTCATTCCTTTAATAAATGATGATATAGTCTTGCTTCTTTTGCTCACTAACTGCATCTGTCTCAGTAATGTTAATGTTTTAGTCATCTAAAAATTAGAAAATACTCATTAAACTGCACATGCTATAACTTTCAAACTATTGAATTATTTGAAGATAAACTTGAACTTACAATATATTTTATATAAAGTAAATGCAAAAGAAACATTATAGCAAGCCTACATAGCCCAATATTTCACATTTTACAAAGGTGCATTTTATGTGCTTATAATAACTCTTTCAAATTTTAACATAAAATGAGAAGAATTGACTCCGACTTGTCATCATTTATAGTACTGGCTCTTTAAAACAATGACTTTGTAAAAAATATCAACTATATATATATTTTATTTTTAGAATTTATCCATACATATCTCACATAAATAAATTGACACCAACTCTTCTAAGAATAATTTTGAATTTAAAAGGAATATTTTATTTTTATACAATGTTTTCTAGTTTTGAAACCATTTTTGCCTCTATTGTCCTATTTAATCCAAGATTACCATCAAGATTACTAACAAGATGACCATCCTCGTTTTACAGAGAAAGGCATTGATTGTCAAAGCCAGTAAGTGAATTGGCCATGTCTGCAAACTTTTCGAGTGGCAGAGATGCCGCAAAACCACAGGATTTGTGTCTCCAAGTGCAGCATTCTAGCTTTGGAAGGGATACTGGCTTTCTTAGTCAGCTTGGACAGCCCTAATAAACACAATAAACTGGATGGCTTAAATAATAAAAGCCTACTTTCTCTCGGTTCCGGAGGCTAGAAAGTTAAACATCAATGTCCAGCAGGGTTTGGTTTGGGTGAGGGCTCATGGCCACCTTCTCTTTGTGTCCTCACATGTTGTTACCTTGATATGTGAATGTGGAGGGAGAGATCACTCTCTTTTCCTATTCTTATAAAGCTGCCAATCCTATTGTATTGAGACCCTACCCTTCTGGCAACATTTAACCTTAATTACCTCATAAAAGCCCTATCTCCAAATATTGTCACTGGGGATAGGACTTCAACATGTGAGTTTGGGAGAAACACAATTCAATTCATAGCACATACTTTCCAAAATCTGGTCAATTTTTTTAATTGATATGCTCTTCTAGTATCAATATCTAGAAAGGATGATCCTACCTTGAGTCTAACTAATTCATAAATCCTTGAAAACAAGGCAGTTCAGATTTATTGGGACTAAAGAAGATATTTTTCTGGAATGTTGACACTCAATAGATAAAAATAATGAATATACTGTTTCATTAATAATAGCTACAAGAAATATAACAATTAGTTGCTTTTTCTAAATAAATAATTCCAAAGAAAATTTTACATTGGTTTGAAAATTGCTGTAATTGTTAATTAAATGAAACTTTGGATCTAGAACCAGAAATAACATTTGACCCAGCAATTCCATTACTGGGTCTATACCCAAAGGATTATAAATCATTCTACTATAAAGACACATGCACATGTATGTTTATTGCAGCACTATTCACAATAGCAAAGACTTGGAACCAACCCAAATGTCCATCAATGATAGACTGGATAAGGAAAAGTGGCACATATACACCATGCAATACTATGCAGCCACAAAATAGGATGAGTTCATGTCCTTTGCAAGGATATGGATGAAGCTGGAAACCATCATTCTCAGCAAACTAACACAGGAACAGTAAACCAAACACTGCATGTTTTCACTCATAAGTGGGAGTTGAACAATAAGAACATATGGACACAAGGAGGGGGCATCACACACCAGGGCCTGTTGGGGGTTTGGGGGCTAGGGGAGGGATAGCATTAGGAGAAATACCTAATGTAGGTGACAGGTTGATGGGTCCAGCAAACCACCATGACACGTGTGTACTTATGAAACAAACATGCACATTCTGCACATGTATCCCAGAACTTAATGTGTAATAAAAAAAATTTTAGCTTTAATTTCTTTTAAGAATCAAAATCTTTGAGAGTGGTAGAAGAATATGTCTTGGAAACTTAGAGAAGTTGGAAAGAATTACATATCCTATAGAAAGGTTTCTCCAAAATTCATGTGTGCCCAATGAAAAGCAAGACAAAAAAAGGAATGGTGAGGGGCGGGGAGAGAAACACAAAGAAGATGATCACTGTAATCTGTTGGGATAGATAACACTTCTTATTTCATTGTCCTAATTATGTTTCATATTATAAAAGTTAATGTTGCAAAAAATCATTTTAAAAATCATAAAAAGCATTCACACTAGTGCATCAACCAGTTGAAATTAAAAATAAAAACACAATTCTTTAATAATACTAAGGCACATTTTAAAATTTTACTGTAAAATTCAAATCTTTCCTAAATGTTGTTGTCCATTAATTACATAGTGAGAAATATATGATGATATTGAAATTACAAGGCTATTCTTTATTTAGTCTACAGTTCATAGTATTTTAACCATAACAACCCACTTAAATACTTTTTAATCCTGCAAAGCCAAATATTTTGTAACAAGTAAACCTTAAGATTTTCTGATATGTAATCTTAAATGTTTCTGATGGCTTCTGCTTATTTTCTTGACCAGCTTTCTTTTGTAATTCTATTCTGTGGTCAGTAAATTTCCCACCAATTATAGGGGGGAATATCTGCAATTTTAAGAGGGTTAAGAGTGATGCTATTATCCTGATGAGCTTCCTTTACATATTCTTTCTTACCAAAAATTATAAAGTCTCTCAAAATTGAAAAGTCTACTTGACATTCTATGTAATTGCTATGACGAGCAAAAAAAAATTACCACTATCATCAATCTTCCATATGTCTCTGATGCTTATTATTAGAAAAACTAAAGTGGATTTTCTCCCCAGTATCTCCTGTGAGTAAGTATGAAACTCTTTCACTCTTCAGCTTTCTCTTTTAACTTACATTCAAACATGACTACTGATTGCTAATTTCTGTATCAAGAAAGTGGCTCAAATAAATGATGTGTGCAATTGGAGCCATCCATAGGAAAGTGGGACTGTTGGAGAGCTATAAGCAGGTCAATGGCCTTACACCTTAGGTTTTAATGTTATTGTTATTACTTATAAAATGAGTGAATGAATAAATGAGTATTGGGTGTTTGGAATGAATATAAACAGGCACACAGGTCCACTCACCACTCCCCAACCTAGCACACACCCCTTTAAAAACCCTTGCAGTTAACTCCATTTTGCAATGATTACACAAAGAACCTTCAGTTTAGATGGACAAATACAGTCCTACACGCATGTGAGTTTGATTTAATCACAGATTAAGTATGAAGAAACATTTTAAAAACATAGCTACTATTTAGTGGGTCCAACTATGTGTCAGGAGTATTAAACATGTTATTTCATTTAATCCTCAGGAAGATGCTTTAGAGAGGCTATTAATGCCTACTGTACATAGGAGAATATAGAAGAATGGAAAGATTCAGCAATTTATTGGAGTCTCAAAATCAGAAAAGTAGTTAAGATTTCTTCTTGAAGCCTGGGTTCCCATTAGACGACATCCTCTCCTCTCAATTGCCCCCAAAAAAACTGCTTCTGAGTTTCTGGAGTCAAAAGAGAGAATCCAAGTAAAAACTAATGAAACAAGAATGAAGTATCAAACTTTACATCATAAAGGGTTAGGTTTAATTTTTATGAATTTGAAAAAGATTTTCTTTAACCCTATTCTATGAAGTAATACTTAAAATTATGCAAAGAATAAATAAGAGAGGATACTTTCATACCATGGTTAAATCTTACCTCTATTATTAATTTCTCTATACAAGGCAATATGTCTCCTTCAAGTTTATATAGTATTGACATTGCTACACTTCTTTAGTTGCATGCAATGTTATGATCATTATATGATCTCTGCATACTATGGCCTCATGTCAATTTGCGCTAGACAGCTGTTCACTTTGAAGCAAAAGCTAAGAGATTCACAATGTTCTGAGCATTGGACTAGCTATTTTATACATATTGTCTCAGTTCATTCTCTTAACAGACATATTGTTATTAACTATAATTAAATATTTACATATTGTTATTCATATGATAAATAAAATAATAAGAAAATTGAGCCATCGCTACTTAGTGATGAAACAAGAGTAGGTACCATATCTATATAATATTTAATAAGCAAAGTCAAAGTCAGGGTACTTAGCCATCAAGCCACAGTTTCCCAAATTTCTTTCCTTCTTATACCACCGAAATTATTTTTGCCTTATCAAGAAAACAAACTAATGCTATAATATTACTTGTATTGTTCTTAGCCAGTAGTTCAACTTTTCCCTTAAAATACTTATTTTAAAAAGGAAACTATATCATAATTGAAAATCACTTAATACATGAAAAGTAACCTAAAATATATATGCAACTATAAAAATTTTAAAAGAAATATTGATTACTCATTATTGCTTGTGGGAATGTACAATGATACAGTCACCATGGAAAATAGTTTGGCAGTTTTTTTAAAGCCAAAAATACACTTACCATACCACCCAGCACTCTTATACAATTAATACTCATGTTCAGACAAAAACATGTATAGAAATGTTTGTAGAAGCTTTATTTGCAATAGACAAAAACTGGAAAAAATGGAAATGTCCTTCAGCGGGTGAAAGGTTAAACAAATTTTGGTAAATCCATATAACAGATACTACTCAGCAATAAAAAGAAACCAACTAATTGCTATGTGTAACAATCTAGATGAATTTCTAGAGAATTATGTGACAGGCAAAGTCAATCTCCAAAAGTGACATTCTCTGTGAGTCCATTTACATAACATTCTGGAAGTAATGTCATGATAGAAATGAAAAGCAAATAAGTGCCTGACAGAGATTAGGGTTTGATGGGGAGTAGTGGGTATGAGGTAAGTCTGGGCAGAGATAGGAGCTACAAAAGTGTAGCACAAGGGAACCTGTGGTGATACAACAGTTCAGTATCTTGATTGTGGTGGCAGTTACATGAAGCTATACATGGAATAAAATTTAATAGAAACACACACACACACAAATAAGCATGTGTATGACTGGTGAAATGTGAATAAATTCTATGGGTTGTGCCAATGTCAATTTCATGGTGTTGATGTTGTGCTATAGTTAGGCAAGATGTTAACATCGGGGGAAGCCAGATGAAGGGTTCATAGGACCTTCGTGTACATTTTTTTTACAGCTTCCTGTGAACTGTAATGACTTCAAGTGAAAAGTTTTTACAAAAACGGCTCATTAGTTTGTAACCTGAAATATTACCTTTGCCACCAGCAGCATGTGAAACACACTCTGCTACAATGGACTCTGTTATGCTGTCCCTTCTCCTTGTTCACTTGACTGACGGTAGGTTCTAGCTCAGTCTAAATTTCCTCTCAAAGCTACTGCTTCTGAAGCCTCCCTAATTTCCTTTCTGTAGGGCAAACTTAGCAAGTCCCTTTTTTATGGTCTCACTGCATTTTATATATATATGTCCATAGCAGCTGTTACATTTCTTGTATTTTTCTTTTTAGTTCTGTATCCACCTTTAAACTTCAAGAAGCTTGGTGGTGTTTCTGCATTGTCCTCTTTTTTTTTCTTTGACATTATTATCCTCACACTACCAAATTTTATTGAATGAAATCTATTTAACCTCAATGAGAATTCTTATAACAGATAAGACCTTTAAATATCAGTACAATTTTGCAAGCACAATTGTTAAAAGCCCATTGGTTAAAACAGGTTTCTTAAATTCAGCATTATTGGAAATAAGAGTTATTGAAACAGGACTCTAATTAAGTGTAGGTGAACTAGTGTTTATGTGTGAGTATGCATGTGTCTATGTTAGTATACATACACACATACACACAAAAGTGCAGTAGGAATACTATACAGATAGTCAACTAACTAGTATTATTGTAAGTTCCTTTTGACATCTCTAGTTATAGACTTATTTGAATTCAACCCAATGCGGACTTTTTTGAATTCAACCCTTGATAGCATAAATGTTAAAGGACAATTCCAATATGATTTCGGGCACTGGAAAAAAGTAATGAAAGAAATAATGATTAAATTACATATTTTGTTTTAATTAGAACTACTAGTCACTCTTTAATAGGCAACGGTGTCCTCACATATTTAGTATGAAAATTTTTAACAAGTTTAGCACCATTTATCCTGATAAAAGGAAAATAAAAATAAACAACTAAAAAGGGATGTTACATTGATGGTTAAATCGTTCTTTGTACTCAGTGAATTGTGAAGAATTATTGTTGGACTTAAATATACCTAGAAAAAAGTTTAGGATTAATGATAACATCTTGCCTTTTTGCTGTTTTATTTTAAAAGATTATTTATTTGACATTACAAAATAAGTATATGGCTATTAAAGAAACCTGGAAAACATATAAGAGCTGGAGAAAAAATTATTTCTCATCAGCTTACTACCTAAAGGCAATCAGTATTTACATTTTGACCTTAGTTTCTCTGTCATTTTTTTTAAACATGCCTTTAAAAATATAACTAAGTGTTAATACACACAAATTTACATACATAGTGACATATTTTTATTAAACATAAGCATTGCTCTTAGGGTATCACTTAAGTTTATTTTCTTATTTTTTATGTTCAATGCTTGAGAATCAATACACATAAATTATCTCTCACTCTCACAACAATTCTTCAAAGAAGGTCTTGTCCCTTTTATAGATAAGAAAACTGAGGCTCAGAAAAGTGATGTAAGATGTTCAAATTAAAAAAGCTAGAAAGTGGCTATGATTCCCATGTTGTTTTGCTTGCCCATCATCCTTTATATTGAGAAGAGAATGCAATCCTTTTTCTTGGGAAACCACTCCTCCTTTTATCAGTTCCAGTGGTTTAGATGTGACTCACACATTCCCTGGTTTCTGGGTCTGCCCATGGCCCAGATGTGGGCACTCGGAGGCTGCCTTCCAAGTCCTCAAAATAACTGGGTTAGAGATGGTTACATGACCCATGCTAACTCACTTCCCACCTTATCCAAAATCCTGGCTTCATCACTTATTAATAATTTCAGTCCTAACCCTTAAAACTTGGTGTTTTCCTCTAGTCTCTCCAGCTCCCAACTTCCAGTGTGCCTTCAAGGATTTTGGATTCAGCCCAATCTTCCTTAAGGGCAACCTTGAGGCCATTAATAAACACCTAGTTTTAAATAATGACTTTGAGCAATGACTTAAATATTGATGAAAATCTTTCAGGAAGTAGTGTCAGTGTCTTCTTAGAAGGAAGCTGCTGATCTGATCAGTGTGGCCACATATAGCAGAACACAGAAAATGATGGGCAAAACTCAGCAGAGTACAAATTTGGTTTGCACCAGAATACAGACCACACATATACACACACATGAAAATGCTGAAAGTTGTCATCAATTCTTTAGTGAGGAAATCATTAGCAATTAATTCAGGAATATGGCTGCTCCACTGTGTAATATGCACAGAAGTTAACTGTATAATCAAACCCACATTGTGCTAATTACAGGGTTTAGTTTCCATTATTCTTATCAAACTTAAATAGTGTTCACAAGGGCCCAAGTTACAAAGCTACCCCAGACATAGTAAGAGAGAGATCTGGCTACAATAGACCCTCCCCGATTATGAAACAACGTTCTGAGGCCAGTGTAGACAAAACCAGAGATAGCGATGTTCAGTCTGAAAAACAAAAGTTACTAAAGTCGTAAGATATGATATTTTTGATAATTGATCCCAACTTTTTGGAGCTATGTCTGAATGAGAATAAACAGGAAACTGAAGGAGACAACAAACTATCTGGTGCAGCAGCAATGATTAAGAAGATTATTTTGCATAGACTCCCAAATCAATTTCTTTCTTAGCTAAACCTCAACTTGCATGTGTATATTGTCTCAAAAATTGAGAAACCGTCTTGTAAGGTTTTCAATGGATCTCTTAGAATTCTCTGCTAATTTTTTTTCCAATGCTAGTTGGACTGTTTGTTTTGAGAAACCTGTGGTACCGCAGCAGCACTTAAATGCTACATTGCTTTTTTTTTTTTTTTAATTCCTAGAGTGTCAAACTGTGTTTTTATGAACAGGAATATATCTTCACAGGAAGTAAGTCACATCTGGAGAACTCTACGAGGAGTTGTATGCAAGAGAAGTGTAATCTCATCCCTTCTTTTTTGATACAACATGAACATACTAAGAAAACAGAAACAAGTGATTCTTTCATTAAAGTTCATTTATATGGATTAGCTCTTTAAGTTCTGAATGTTGGAAAAGTGTATAGTCTATATGTTGTTACATTTTCAACAAGGAGTTTCCTAATTTTTCTTGTCTTATAAATCTGATTGAAAAACTAGAAAGTAATAAGAATTTTTTATGTGCTTCGATTTAATTTTTTTTCTTTGAACACCATTTCTTTACTTTCATTTTAAGGTAGAATCCCACAGGGATGATTAGTCATTTGCTGAAAGGGTTAACATTTTATTCTGTTAAAAAGTATATATTTAATATGCAACTATATTTGATGTTCATTGACAGAGTCACCATAGGAATGATCTTGCTTTATGTACCAGTTACAAGGTTTAATATCATTATACTCTATGCAATATTAGTTTTTATTAGTTGCCATTAACAAGATGCTTTCTACTTGAATTCTCATTTACTTGTTCAATGCAAAAATTATCTTTGTAAAAGAGAAAAACACATCTTCAAGTGTCAGCTATATTAAATTAAAGAACTGTTTACCCTTCGTAAGAAAAGCGTATGTATCTAAATAGGCATCTTTTACCGTTTGCATAGTAGATTGGAAATTAGCATTTTTGTTCATTTTCCCATGTATGCACAGTGCCTGGAAGAGTAATACTCCATGCGTATCAGATCAGCCAGCCTACAATTTTTGTGCAATATATTATTTGGCAATCTAAAATTTGTAATTTGCATGAAATTGCTTAATTAAAATACAGTCACTCAGGGTATTAATTTCTCTGTCTGGCAGTTCAATGTACTAAAGGCGGACTACAGAAAATGTGAAATCCTGTCAGATGTAACAGTAAAATATTAACAAAAATATTCCACTTCTGGCAACAAAGTGACAGAGCGATAATGCTTTTGCCCTGATTCCAGGTTCAAATATGAGCTTAGGTTGACATTGAAACTGACTAGGAAATTTACAATAGCAACTCTGGCTTTTTGCCAAGAAATCTGCATGGCCCTTCTTGGCGAAAACTCCTTTTGCTATAATTTTTGTATCCATGCACCCTGTACATGTGCAGAATGCCCATGTGCTTACCCACATGTGCAGAATGCCCCAACACACACACACACACACACACACGCACACGCACACATCCCTTTTTTTCTTTTCTCATTCCCCTAAGTTTATTACTATTTTCCAGTAGCTTTTGCTTTTCAGTATTTGAAATCATCAGCAACCCTACTGATAAAATGATCCAATCAGTCCTTCCCAGTTGTCAAGACAACAGTTCATAATTGGACCAGCTCTTTTCATTGAAGCCAGACATTTCATAAATAGATAATTCTCTAATTGATCCAGCCAATCCTACTTTGCATACTGTGCCAAATAGGTAAACCCAATTCTATTGCAGCAACTTTCTCCAAAGACATGCAAATGAGCTTATTTATTGCCTTTAAGAAAGAATGAAAAAATGCTGCTTTTATTTCCTATTAAAATAAACCTAGAATTTAAAACAGGTAAATAGCACTTGGGCTGCTATTATGTATAATATCTACCTATGTATACACACTTGTATATGACACGTTATAAGTATAAAGTAGTAGCATATCATTATTTGATTTAACTCATAACAGAAATATGATAGCTTGTTGTACATGCTTATTATATGAAATGGTATGCTTTCCTAAAGAATAATCTCTGTGAAGTTGCAAGCAATGTGATGGCTTAGGCACCAAGGAAAGGCTTGGGAGAACTCTCCATCCCATGGGCATTAGAAGAGAGTGGGAGGTGGGCAAGGTACGTCCACTGGAAATGAGAAGAGGAAGGAGGTGGAGATTCTGTAATCAGGGATTTCTGAGGCTTTGCATTTACAAATTGCTTTCTTGTGTTTCTGAAATGAATTAAACATACAAGGTGCTGAGATCTGAAGATGTGACACTTAGGGGTGGATGGGTAGGTATCTTCAAGAGGGAAAAGGGGAAATGGTTGAAGGCAGTCCTGGCACTTTGAGTCAACCTGATCCTGCAGCCACAAAGGTCTATAGAAAGGATCCCACTTCCTCCCAGTGACAGCAACTAGATAACAACTACGAGAATCAATTGCTGACAAACTAATAGAAGTTCAAATGCAAGCAGCTTTCTTTGTTCTTTTTCTACATAAGGCAGTCTATACTTTATATAGATGTGAGTGTATATTTGCCAGTAATTAAATTTATGCCTTTGAATCCTGAAATGCAAACATGTTTTAAATGTGTTTAAAGTAAAATAAAGAGAAGTGATTCCTAGAAGTAGAAAGCTTGGCATAGCAAAGGAAGAAAGGGCGGTTTGATTTTTTCCCCATTTGCAGTTTGTTGAATACCTCGCTTGCCTGCAATTCGTCCTCTTTTGTCTTAAATATCAAAGGCTCTGCAGGCATGTTAACATTTTAATAATTTCAAAAGGCACAAAAGCCAAAGGAAGGGAGTGAAAAGACAGACTGTAGTGAAGTGGCGCGTCCGCCGCTGAAAGAATATTTCTTACACGGCTGCCTAGTGCTGCAGGAAGCGGGATTCACCACTCTGGTGCCATTCACCAACCCACAAAGGCACACACAGTAATGTGGAGTCAAGGCCTAATTAAAATCCTTGAACAGAACGTAGGTCTGGAGAATGGCATACATTCAGGAACTGCAGTTTAAAAAGGGAAAGAGCGAGAGCGCGGGAAGGAGACTGGAGAGAAGAAAGAAGCAAGGAAGGAAGGAAGGAAAGGTGGAAAGACCAGAGAAAAGAGAGAGAAGAAAGAGAGAGGAGAGGCGGGGAAGAGAGAAGAGAGGAAAGGAGAAAAAGAGAAGAGAGAGGGGAGGAGAGCCCTGTCACCAGCAGTCAGAGGCTGCACTGCGAGACTTTGCTGCCCTCAACAGCCTTCCAGTGTAAGCGCTGCCACCCAATTTGCTACAGAGTTAATTGGTTCTTTGATGTCTCAAGAAAGGTGCTGATAGAAGGAAGAAAAAAAAAAAACACGAGTCTTCCTTTCTCCATGGACTCCTGTTTATCTATTAAAAAAAAAAACTTGCTGATTCCAAAGGGCTTCCTTTTGTCCCCTCCCAAATCACCGCTCCCTTTCTCAAATTCTCATCACCTCGCTGTTATCCTAGATTATGGCTTTTTCTCGGGGTCACGATAGTACCTTTTTTATTTTATTTTATTTTATTTTTTTGAGGGGACTAATTTTCACTTGCTAATTTCCCAGCTGAAAAAAAAAAATGGGAGTGCAGCGGGCTCCCTGCTGCCACTGCTGATCAAATGGAACAACAAGGGCAATGCCTGCTAATATGGGAAGCTATTTAGTGGCACGCTGCCTTTTGAAATGATGATGATAATGGATTCAGTCTGCTCATTAATGGAGCCAGAGTGCTCATTAGAGTGAACAAACAAGCCAGGTTGTCAGTACTGAAAATGCCAAGTGCTTGTTTCCATTTTATCTGAGGAGTCTAGAGACAGTGATTTTACCATTTATTTCCCCTTTCTGCGCTTGACCCCAGAGCTCCCCCCAGCATCAAAGTCCCTCATCTGGTGGAGCCTGTACATTTGCAGCGTCTCCCTGGCTCATCACGGCTTCAAGGTCACAGGCACTAAAAGAGCAGCGGGGCTGGGTGTGTGTCTGTGTGTGTATTACACTTCTACGGGATTTTGTAACCAATAAATAGTGTGTGGGGGGGTGGGGTGGAGGGTGGGCGAGAGAAAGAGAAAATGAAAAGGAAGGAGGGAGGGAAAAAGGGAGACAGAGTTTTGAAATAGAAAGTAGATAAAGAGCTTTGGTGTGTTTGGAAATCTTTTAAAGACCAATTAACTAATTTAGAATGTAAACTTCACCACCGAGGTGGGGTCAGACTCCTCTCCAGGACAAGAGCGAGCCGCCAGACGTGAGCTAAAGAAGGTGCTGGGGGGCAGAACGGGTACTGGGGCGCCTGGAGGAGAGTTGAGGGGCCTGAAAGACTCTGGGGGCCCAGCTCGGTCGGTGGGTTTATTCCAAGTGCCCCGTCCCAGGCTTGCACTCCCCAAAAAGGAGCCGAGACGGGAGGGTTGAGGCGTCTCGGCTGCCTCCGTGGAGATCCCGAGAAAAGCTCCTGCGCTCCAAGTTAACTTCTCTCTGGGCCGCGCGGCGCAGTGGAGTCTCGGTGCAGCCCGCGTCCCTGGAGGCGCGCAGCGAAGCCCAGCGGGCGTGGACAGGGAAGGGGCGGGAAGGCAGGGGACAAGGCGGGGTCCTAAGGGTTGGTGGGGTTGAGCTGGGGGGGGGGGGGCGGAAAAAGAGATCTGCGGAGAAGCCTTCGGAGAGGCTAAGGAGGGCTAGCCTGGGGCTGACGAAGGCAATGCTCTTTAGAAGGGCACTGGGGGCAAAGAGGGTCCCCCAAAGCAGCTCATCTGGGCGCCCTTGACTAACAGTGCTCTGAGCTTTTTGCCTTGAGACTCTAAAGATCAAAATTCGATGTCCTCGGAATTATCTGCGGAACACGTTTGTTATTGAAAACACTTTATAACTATAAAATTGTATTTTTTTTAGGCTGAGAGAACTAATTTGCTCTTTACTATTTTCTGTACCTCGGGGAAATAAGGAGAGGTGATGCTCCTTGTTCCATTGAGGAAGAAATAGAGAAACATTTCTTTCATTTTTTTAAAGTTTTGAATGGAAGAGGAAATGGTCTTAACTGATTATCAAATAACATACTGTCATCGGCACTTAATCTTAGAGTTTGCTTTTTTCCTTATTCTGCATTACTAAGTTTATTCATTCAAGTAGATATGTGTGAGAAAATTTAGATGTCCTAAAGTCCCCTTTGATTTCTAATTTCTTGTATTTCTGCACAAGTTTTGCCATAATTTGGCATTCTCTTCCTATACAATTTGAAATTCTAAATTTTAACTATTGAAATTTAAAATGAGAAATATTTCACTTATTGCATGTGAATGATATATAATTTGTAAGATAATAACTCATAACACTGATTGTTTTCGTGTAGCTTATCTACAAATTCAATAATGCTCCTGAAAATAAGACAGATTCCATATTGTTTCTCAAACATATTCCATTACCAAAGGGTTAATTTTAAGTTACATAATCTAGTGAAAATGCAAAATCTGTACAATCTTGTGGAATCATAAGACAACTATATTCAATAAAATATTAGGAATAATTGTGGAGTTATTTTTGGATGAAGTTGCTCTTGTTTTTATATATAATTCTTGCTTTTCTCTTTGTCATCTGTGGAATTCTCTAAATTTTTAAGGTCTTGTGGTTTCAGAGGTTATTCAAAAAGAATGTGAAAGTTCAAAATATTTTCTTACCTTTTAGCTATTGAAGAAGGGAAAATGGCTTGGAAAAGCTTGATGTTTTCAACCATTGCTTCATTTTTCTTTTTAGTCATTGTGATGAAGAATGGAGCTAACCATTATTTACTAAAAATTAACACCACCACTCAATAATCATTTTTTTCTTCTTTATCACAGTCACATAATAATTATCACACTTACTTTTTTTTTTTTTTTTTTTTTTAGACAGGATCTCACACTGTCATCTAGGCTAGAGTATACTGGCTTACTGTGACCTGGAACTCCTGTGCTCAAGCAATCCTCCAGCTTTAGCCTTCTAAGTAGCTAGGACTATAGGCTTGTGCCACCATGACTAGCTTTTTCTTTTCTTTTCTTATCTTTCCTTTTGTTTTCTTTCCTTTTCTTTTCTTATCTTCCCTTCCCTTTCTCTCCCCTTCCCTTCCCTTCCCTCCCCTCCCCTCCTCTCCTGTCCTGTTCTTTTCTTTTCTTTTCTTTTCTTTTCTTTTCTTTTCCTTTCTTTTCTTTTCCTTTCTTTTCTCTTAAAATAGGGATCTCGCTATGTTGCCTAGGCTGTTTTCAAACTCCTGGCCTCAGGCCATCTTCCTGCCTTAGCCTCTCAAAGCGCTGGGTTTGCAGGCATGAGCTACTGCACTTGGCCACTTATTGTTATCAAAAATTGTGCAAGCTTTTCTTTTGGTGGAACTTGTAAATGGGTATTCTATATTTTACTCCTAATAATTGTCCTCCTATAATTGTACTCCTAAAAATTCCCTGTGAACCCTCAAGCCTTAGAAACTGAGTTTCTAAAAGAAAGTTCAAAGTTCTTCCTTCCTTCCTTCCTCCCTCCTTCCCTCTCTTCCTTCCTTCCTACCTTCCTTCGTTCTTTCCTTCCTTCCTTCCTACTTTCCTTCTTTCCTTCCTTCCACCTTCCTTTCCTTCCTTTCCTTCACCTTCCTTCCTTCCTTTCCTTAACCTACCTACCTTTCTTTCTTTCTCTCTCTCTTTCTTTCTTTCTTTCTTTCTCTTTCTTTTGCCTGTTTTATGTCTCCCCTGTAATGATGCATTGCTATTGTTCTGAGAACAACTGTTAAGTTCATTCTGGGATCCCCATTGCTGCTTCAAATTTCTTCAGTCAACATTAAGGGTCTATCATTTATTAGACATTTTGCTAGGTAATAGGTATGTAGAAATGAAGTAGTTACAGTCTTGTCTGGTCTCTTATACATTCCACTAGATCGTCACTTGAATGGATTAGTTGGCTAGTCTATACCCACTGGATATTGCATACATATTCGCTACCATAAATATGTGTTTGGTGTAGGAACCCCCTTTTTTTTTATTTTATTTTAAGTTACAGACCTTAGCAAGGTCTCGTAAACTAGGACATTTCCTTTCCAGATGGTAAATGACTAGGGCTACAAAGTTGTACCTTTATCTTAGATTTCAAGAAGGATATGTCTTTTGAACAAACAGACTTTGTTTCAGAAATGTCCTAAAATTCTTTCTCCCACATTGGATTGACTATTTCAGTGTCCAGGAAGAGCTTGTGATTCTAAGTTGGTGTCTTCAGTCCACCAAGCTGGAGAAGCTGCAATGAAATGTCTTCCATTTTCTTATCTCTTACTTTATATCATCTTACTCTATTTTATGTTATTGTTCTTCACCATGAAAGACAAATTATCTGTAGTCATTTGGGAAGTGATAAGTTTAGTAGCTGTGGCCACACTTTAACAGTGTTGTGTAATCTTGACCCTGTTAATTTTCAGTAGCACCCTATAGATTGGCTACTACAGCACCACATTATAATGAAATGTGCAAATACATAGTTGACTCTCCCGAGCCAAGACTGTAACTACTTCATTTCTATGAATGAACCTAGCAGTTGTTCTCAGAACAATAACTTTTGCAGGGCAAGCCAATGGAAGATGTGCTGTCCCTGTGTCAGCATGACGATGGCTCTAGAGATGATGCCTGTTTCATTAATCATCCCCTCTGATGGGCACTGTGTTCACTCCAGCCTTAGAGAATCATAATAAAGGAAACTTGCTGAAAGGGATGTCTGGTCTCCTATACATTCCACTAGATAATCACTTGAATGGATTAGTTACCTAAGCCGTATCTACTGGATAGTGTATGCATATTCACTAGCTTAAATATGTGTTTGGTGTAGGAACCCTTCTATTTTTATGAGATGGAGTTTCGCTTTTGCTACCCAGGTGGGAGTGCGGTAGCGCGATCTTGGCTCACTGCAACCTCTGCCCCCTGGGTTCAAGTGATTCTCCTGCCACAGCCTCCCCAGTAGCTGGGATTACAGGCATGTGCCGCCATGCCTGGCTAATTTTGTATTTTTAGTAGAGATGGGTTTTCACCATGTTGGTCAGGCTGGTCTCAAACTCCTGACCTCAGGTGATCCACCAACCTCAACCTCCCAAAGTGCTGGGATTATAGGCATGAGCCACTGTTTCCAGCCAGGAAACCTTTAAAACCTCCTTTTTTTACTTACTTTCAACATGCAATCTCTTACCAGGCCTGCCTGTGAAAGTGAACTCTGGGGCCAAATACCTGAGTTCAAATCCTGGCTCTACCACTGACAAGCAGTGTGACCTCCAGTAAATGAACTTTCTCTGCTTTAGTTTCTTTATAAAAAGAAAATTATAGTACCAGCCTTCTTGTGAGGATTAATTATGAGTTATTAATATAATATGTAAAGTACTTAAACCAAAACCATACAAGTATGATTTATTTATTTATCTAATCTTCCTTTTTCAATTCAACCCCATAGCCAATATTTTAGACCATTTCCTATGTCATTTGCTGCCTGGACTGGTCTCCTTGCCGCTAAGATCCTTTTTTCTAAACTGTTATCCAAACAACTACGAGGTTAATGCTGTTAACTCTGCATTTAGCAGTTACCTATTTAGAAATCATCACTGATCATATCTCTCGCTTAAAAACCTCTCACTCACTTCTCATCCAAACTCCAAGAAGTCATCATGCTTTAATAATTTTCTTTGTAATCATATTAATCTTCTTTTATTCAGCCTCCCATGCATTGCTCAAATCCTGGGCTGCAGCCAACCAAATTCTTAATAATTTCCAATACTCAATGTACCTTTTCTCATCTCCATAACTTTGCCCATGCCATGTTCATGAGACATATATCAGTGCTAACTTCAATTCACACTTTAAGACAATTCATAAACTCTCCTCTGTGGAAGATTTTCTGATCCTTTCTATCTCCACCCCCTTTACCCATCCATAGCAGCCCTCATGACACTATATTCGAATTATTATTTACATGTCTTCCTAAAGTGAAGCTCTTGGGAGCAAGGTCAATATATATTGCCCATCATTGTATTTCAAGCCTCAAAACCCATGATTGGCAATTAAATGATTATTTAATGAGTGGATTTGTGCTGATGTGCCTTTTCTAATGGTCAGCTTAATTGTAACCTACAATTTCTGCAAGTTGATCTATTATTTGCTTTGACCAAAGTAAACATTTGAATCATAGAGCAAAATTTTATAGAACCTAAAATTGTCTACAATCAGGCTTGATCAAGTGCAATTCCTAACAGGCAGTATAGTGTAATGCAGTGGCTCCCAAAGTGTGGTCCTTGGACCCGCAGCATCGGAATTACCTGGGGACTTCCCTAGAAATGGAAAATTTGGTCCTCTCCCCAGACATACTAAATGAGGATCTCGGAAATTGGGACCCAGAAATCTGTTTTCTAATGAACCCTCCTAGGGATTCTGATACACTCTCAAGTTTGAGAATCAGAGAAGCAATTAGAGCAAACTCTGGAGCCAGACTGTCCGGGTTCAATTACCAACTCTACCCATTGCGAGCAGTTAAACAGAACATTTCTTCCCCTCTCTGCATCTCAGCTTCTTCATCTATAAAATGAGAATGATAATAATTAGGATTGTTATGACAATTAAATGAGTTAATACACAGAAAGTACTTACCACAGTGCTTAATCAGTTAATGACACTTAATAAGTATTAGCTCTTATTCTTACAAAATCACTATTCTCTTGAAATTTATTCCCTATGAGATGTTCTTCATATTTTCTCATTCTTTTGATTTCATATGCAGAATCTATTTTCATGCTGGTCAATACAACTACTAATAAGTTTGATGAGGAAATGGGACTTCTGGTTCACCAGGGACCATTTTACATCCTCACACAGGTCCACAAACACATATGAGATTCTGTGAATCAAAGGAAGGAAAATATGCACTCTATTTTAATTAACTGGGTCATGGTCTAATAAATGCTGCTTTGTTTTTTTGTAACTTGACCTTCATCGTTTTATAAGGAATTCTTTCATAATCTCTCATTTTTTTCAGTAATTTTTTTCTTGATAAAAGTGCTTATTAAAATGAATACCACTTAAAAATAGAAGGCATTTCAAGAAAAAGAAAAGCTCAGAAATGCAAAGTTGCCTTGAAAAGTATGAAAAAAATATTTAATGTAGGCAGACGACTTTGAAACATTCATTTTCTAAAAAATAAAATGTTCACTGTTCTACGTGCTATCAGTCAGATTCTGTCCACCTTCTTAACATCTTCCAAATATTTAGTAGCATTTCATTCTGAATTCTTAAAGAAATAGCTTTATAGTGGCAAAGTGAAAAAATGTACAGCTAGACTTTTGTGGAGAGGTAACTAGAAGTATTTTTGCCTTCATCACTAGCTTAAAAACTACATTTATGCTTGTTCCCGTTTGTAATATTATTCAGAGTTAGGGCCACTATTTTTCTTTTTATTATCTTGAAGGATAATTGTGGACAAGATATAAACCCGCATGTGTTCATATGCACAAGACAAACCTAAGTTTAAATTCTTTTAAAATGTGTATGTGTACAAGCTATTACCCTAAGACAATCTTCCTGGAAATATTTGAATAAGATATAACTTCTCTAGGATTAAAACAGTTCATGCAATCTTGACATGCAATCTTCTCACCAGCCATTCATAAATTTTAGTTTCAGAAACTTCAGGTAAGGTATTTCTCAGCTTTTGTAGAAATCTTTATTATTCCTTGAATAGGCATTCACTTTGCTGACGTCTTAGCACGCTGTAAGATTTATCATTCAGAGAGTTAATATGGAATTGTAGGCTTGTATTTCAACTACAAAATTTAAATTATTTTGAATGCATCTTAACTAGGATATGATTGAAAATGAAAATTTTAAAGAGGTAAATAATCTTCTGATTAATATTGTTAAGAGAAGAAAAAGGCTACAGTGAAAATACTTTCTGAATAGCATGTTTAATTTTAGGTATCCCAATTTGAGAAGGCAAATTAAAGAAACTTTCAAAAATTCAAAACGATTAAGAGAAAAGGTGACAGTAATTAATGAAGAAAGCTTGCAGGATCTCACTTGATAGAACATGACGAAGCCGTGCTTAGAGGTAGAGATGATAATTTCCTGATATTTAAGGAATGTGAACAATGAGAAAGAATATGATTTGCTAAAAATATTGGTACAGTGGGAATAATTAGGGATATTAAGGAGAATTTTTAAGGGAAAAAAATGAGAAGAACCTAAGAAAAAAATCTCACTATGATACAAATTTATAGTTTAGGTCTATATCACTAAAAAAGGCTGTTTCAGTAGTTGACTAATTCACATGTCAACTGATTTTCATGCCTATAAATATAGTACAGGGATTATAATAGTGTTTAACAAATTTAATGGGGAAAATTAGGTCCAATTTCTGTCACTTTGAAATTCACATTCAGTGAACATACAAATAAAATTTAAATACATTATTTACAAACTCTATGCCACTAGTCCAAAATTCCTAATTATTAGTCTTACAATATTCCTGTATGTTAATATGTCAATGTTAAAAGAATATGAAAAAAAAAGTGTCCTATGTCTAGTTGGGCAATTCCTATTGCTAATAGAAGGAATCTTGTGAGTTATTTATTAAGGAAACATTTGGTGTATTTCCTGAGAGATGTATCAGACTTTATGCAAGGTGTTAGTATAGAAGTTTTATATACTGGCTGTCTGATACCAGAGATCATGTAGATGATGTTAAAAGATAATGTGAATTCTGAAAATTTGGATACTGGTATTTGTTTCCTTACTTTGTTGCCAAATTGCCTGAAGTGAGCCATTTCTCTACAAATTGCAATTTTCCTATGTCTGTAATGGGAATAATAATATCTGCCCTGCCTAACTCAGGGAGATATATAAATAAATTGGGTATAATAATGTATACCAAAATACTTAATAAAATAAAGCTCTAAATAAATAAGATATATTCAACTTAATCTTTGGTAAAGCTCTTCACTTTTACTTAAAAAGATCATGTAAATAATGGTTATTTACCCAAGTTATCTGATTTTTTTAAAGAGAGAAATGTGGCTGTTTTGGATGAAGGGAAATCTACGTATTATATAAATCGCATGAATGAAAGTCATTTCATAACATTAAATCTTATTATTTCAGCAATTGAGTATTTAGGATGTTTAAATGCCAGTTTTATGTTATCTATCACTATGTTAGTCCAAAACACTATTTTTTCATATCTCTTGATTTTTGTGGATCACAAATTTTGATAAGTCTCTACTGAACAATTCTTATGCCTCATTGATATCAACTGAGGCCACATGGTGGTAAGTGGCAAGCTAGTGTACACGGTTGACCACATGGCTTCATTTGCCTCCCTAGTGCCTTCACAAACATATCTGGAGGGTTGAGCTCAGTGGGACCACTCTCTACTTCCATGCAGTCACACTGCCTCTCCACATGGTCTCTGAGGCATGGACTTCTTACATGAAGTTGGTCTTCTTACAAGGTGGTTACAAGGGCTCCAGAAAACCAAGATGGAACTGCCAGTCCTTTTAAAAAGTTAAGTTCCAGAAATGATGTGGCATCACTTCTTTCATACTCTATTGATCAAATAAGTCATAGAGCAGCCCATAGAGAGAGAGAAAATAGATCCACTGTATTGATAAGAAGCATATCAAAGAATATGTAGCCATCTTTAACTGCCACAGTGCATTTTAAGGATAACTAAAGCATGTATGGAAATAGTTTTCATCACTGAATTTTTTTCAGCCAAACTAAGAAGATTATAGCTTTAGTTTTAGTTATATATTTCCATCCAGTACAATCAGTACAATCATGAGTTATTTCAGTAGAAATAATTAAACCAGTTATATGTCTTGCTATGTGCCTTGACTTAGACTAACGCTTATCAGTACAATATTAAAAGAAAAGTTAAATTTCTATATAGTCAGACATATGATCAAGCAATGGGGTCAGTAGTCATTTATCTTCAATTGCTCAAGTCATCAGAAAGATTTAATTTGTTTGGGTTATATAGTTAAATCTACAAGTCCTTGAAATTATTACTAACACAACATATAATAATGTTTTAAGTAAACATATATTTATTACTAGTAAGAAATTACTTAAATTATTTGAAGTGGAATGTCAATTAACAATAGTATAGTCTGTATCTTAATGAGCAATTTTGCATTTTATTCAAGAGTGAAGGAATTTTCTGACAATAATTTAGCAAATATTATTTAATGAAGGCTCCATTTCATAACTCTTAATCACTAAATTATTAGCTAACATCTAGAATTGTATGCAAAGGAAGCAGCATTCCTGTTTTTAATTAAGAACATTTTATATATATATATATATATTATATAACACATTTGTATAAAATATTTATTTGGAAGACTAGAAGTGATATCCAAACTTATAGCTTAACAGACTGCAAGGTGGCTCTCTTGCTCTCTTTTTCTCAAGTTTTTTTTTTTCTATTTTTGTAATATTAGCACATAAATGTAATCCTAAATAACAAGTGTAGAGCATTCCACATTAATGGGAAAAAGCATCTCTATTTCTGTTTTAGTGGAGTGATCATTGTCCAAACCTATGTGAAATATGTGGTGGGTTTGTTTTTGGTTTTGTTTTTGTTTTTTTTTGAGATATGGTCTCCCTCTTTTGTCCAGGCTGGAGTGCAGTGATGTGATCTCAGCTCACTGTAACCTCTGCTTCCTGGGTTCAAGTGATTCTCCTGCCTCAGCCTCCCAAGTATCTGGGATTACAGGCAGGCACCATCACACCTGACTAATTTTTGTTGTTGTTTGTTTTTGTAGAGACAGGGTTTAGAGTTTGGCCATGTTGCCCAGGTTAGTCTCAAACTTCTAGGCTCAACTGATCTGATCCGCCCGTCTTGGTCTCCCAAAGTGCTGGGATTATAGGTGTGCACGAACTCGGTGAAATGTGTTCTTGAGTACATAATTGAGAGGGGAATCTTTATTAGAATGGCTGAAATAAAAATGGTTCTTAAAAATCCATGTACTTTGTGATATCCTATGTGTATGTGTTTATTCAGGCAATTAGTCATTCAACAAACTCTTTGCAAGCGTTGAACCAGATCCTGAAAATACAAAGATGAAGGAAACATGGTCCTTGTCCTCATGAGTAGGAAAGCAGCAGCAATGGAATAAAGGGCACTTCTTTACACCATGTGATAATGAGCATAGTTACTGCAAAGACACAAAAATAACAAAAAGAGTGATGATTCGGGCAACTACAAATTGATGGGAGTGGACAAATACAGAGTGTGTGGGTGTGGGGTGGGAAGTGGCAGTGAAAAGCAGAAATAATAAAAAGATTCTTTTACATCATGCTAAGGATGTAGGTTTTATTTTTTGCTGTAGACAATGAAAAAGCCATGAATAAATAAGCTAGCAATAGGATTTAATTTGTCATTTAGAAATTTTACTTGGGAACATTTTAGAGCAGGAGTCAGGAAATCACATCCCACCTGCCAAATCCATCTGCTGCCTTTTTTTAAATAAATAAACTTTGATTGGAACATCACTCCACCCAATCCTTTCACATAGCGTCTATGGCTGCTGTCCTGCTACAACAGAGTTGAGGAGTTGTGATGGAGACAACATGGATGTACAGCCTAAAATATTTACCACGTGACATTTTACAGAAAGTTTGCTGACATCTCATTTAGAGAATTGATTGGAAAGGTTTGAAATTGGAGATGGAAAGAACAATTAGGAGGTGAGCAATGGTGATGGCCTCTATTAAATTAGGGGCAGCAGAAATGCAGAGAAGACATCCCAAGGATGTTAATAATATAGAATAGCAGGACTTTGCAATTGATTAAATGAAAAATAAAATTTATGATGACCCTCAGGTTTTTGGCTTATGTCATTTTTTAGACTAATAATAGTGGAGGGACATAATGTTCTCCACATGTTCATCTGGGAGCATGTTTAGATGAAAATATCTGTTAGCACCCAGATTTTAGAAAAGAGGTCCAGGACATTAGATGGTAACTGAAGATGGGTTTTGCTATGGTCATTGAATGGGAAGCCTGGGAAGATACATTGTATCAGTAGAAGACCAAAGATAGAGCCTTGGGATGTAGCAACAGGAAAAAAAAAATGTGTGCAGAAGAAAGAAGCTGGCAGACAGAAGTTTGAGATATGACTAAAATGATTCTCTTAACAATCATGCTGCATAAAAAGAATTTATTTTTAATTGTGTATCCTTTTATTGACAATGACTTGATATTTTAAAATGTAAGCATATAGTATATTTAGCCCAGGTTATTCATAGAATTGAATTAAACGAAGTCTGACATAAAATCTTTTTTGGATCCTTTTCAAAGTTGAGCATATAGTTGGTATTAATATAAAACAAGAAAAAAAGCCTTAACTCAAAAGGAAATAAAGTATTCTCAATCATGTTGCCAACGGAGAGGTTTTATGGAATACCCATTTAATGGTGATATTTGGGAAATGAACTAGCAACTGTATTACATCAGACATCTACAATACATAATTATTTCCAGAAGACTGAAACTCTGATTATATCCATGTTATATAGAACTCCATGTGATAAAAAGCCATGTTCAAATATGATTCTTTTATGAGTCTAAACTCCAAAGCTTGTCAGTAACCCATCCACTTCAGTTAAAACTAATTGTTAATAACATGATGCTTTATCAGAGAAGTCTAACATTTAGAAGATGTATTTTTCATATGAATTTGTTATGAAATACATCATTTTATTTATTTTGAACCTAGTTTCATAATTATTTCAGAACTTCAGAAGTTCAATTTTTAAAACATTTAATAGTTGCTCTGTGTTGTATTAGAAAGCAAAAATTCCTATATATGTAAATCATGCTAATAGTAATGATTTATGGAAAGTTAAAGGGCACTTAGTTAGAAGATATAAATAATTCTGCTTAACCAGTAAGATAGTCATATAATCAAGGTTAACATAGCATATTCCTCTGCCACTAATAAAATTTCATATGAATAATTGTAAGATTGTGATAAATCGTAACCACCATTTAAGCACAATATAATATCTGCATATAGTGTTACATAAAGTGCAACAAAAATTTAAATAGTTTAATTGTGTAAAATCCTTTTTTATTGTACTCTACCTTGCAAACATGAAAACATGACAAAAGGCACAGCAGTTTATAGTTCATTTTCTATTTCTTATACATTATAAATAAATACATTCATTATAAAAACAGGTATTAAAGAATCTATAATTATAAAGCATGTAATTAGAAATTCACTCTTTAAAAAACTACTTTTGCTAACTGTTATAGATGATGACCACACCACTCTCAGACTATGTTGTCAGATAAGTTACCTTCACAAACTGGGATAAAAAGGCTCATATAAAGAATAGAATATTGAATTTTTTTTTTCTCAGAGATAAGCTTTTCTATAGTTATTTCATTTTCTGGTTTTCAGAAGTCTTGCATTAAGTGAGAACCCTCAATCGGTAGCTCCTGCATTTGCCTGTTTCTGGTGTTAATTATCTTTTGTTTGCCCTTGATAATCCTGAGGTTGGTATGCAGATGATATGAAAGCTGCAGAATCATCTCAAAGTGTAAAAAACAATGGCATTGTCAATTCTGCATCACAACACTTTATAAATTATGAATGTTATCCACATTAAGGAGAGTGGTAGACTTTTAAAATTACTTCCATGAATAGATTAAATTACAAGTATTATTACATTTCATTTTATTAAGTGCATCTTAGTAGTTATTACAGCAAATGAACATGTTCTCTCAATTACATAATAACATTAGAACTAAAAATTATGCATCAACACTCCCAGATGCATAATGGAGCATTGTATATTAATCACTCTAAACAATATTTTTGAGTTTATATAAAGGCAATTATTACCTATTGAACAATAACATTATTTTATTGGTTTATTAAAATTCATTTTAAGAACTACTTCTTTCACTGAAAGCTCTAGGTATTTTCAATTTTTATTCATAGAAACATAATGTATACAAGTAGTTCAATTTACTTGTGTTTGATAATGTTTACCTTTCTATAAAATAATAAGATTAAATGCATATAACAGGAAGTGACTAAAATGTAATATCCATGATTAGCCCTTCAAATTATGTGAAAATCAATTCAAAATTATATTGCTGAAAGTTTTACTTATCCAATGTGGCAGTTATAGTTTAGTATTACAATAATAACTACTAACATACATTTACGTTCGTGTTAATAGACTGAGAACAAAGAGTTACAAATGAATATGATTATAATCTACCTATAACTATAGAATTGATTTCAAAGTATTTTTGCAAGTTTAGATGACTTTTACGTATCAATTTTCAATGAAAGTATTTCTGTATTTCATATTTAATGTTCTAAACTCATATTGTGTTTATTTTTCTTTAATTAATGGTTTGACGGTTTTAAAAGAATGATTATTTCATATTATAATAGAATGTTATTTGAATGCTAGGAATTCGTTTTCTTTCTTATATCTGAAACTGTTTTGCTTTAATGTTAGAATCAAGTTTATGTAACTAAAGTTTTTGTAAATATAGTTAGAATTGAATATAACAGTTTCCTATGTCAATACTACTTAGCATGACTGCATAAACACCATTGATATCTTTAAGTCTAGTGGAATATAGCAATTGATTTATAATTAATTTAACAAAATAAGTAAAAGTTATTTTACACTTTTTGAACATCTATTCAGCTTGAACTTTGTCAAAAATACATGGTAACAGTAACTCAGTTGACATAAATTTGAGAATCTAAATTTTAAAAACAGTAAAACACCTAGTGTTTTACATTGGTAACTTAACCGTGTATTATCATCTATTTGATTAGCAAGCACATTATCATAAAAGTAAAAATCATGACTTAAAAATAAGAAAAGGCAATCTAGAGAATAATAACACTATTTTATAGATTGATTAAAATTTAATTTGAGATTTACAAGGAAAAATCTTTCAGCTATATGTTTAGGCATATTCCTTGTTTAACTTTTTTATATGAAAATGCATGTATTATTCACTTTTTCTAAATAAGAGCTGTTTTATTTATAAAAATGTCTAGTTCTTCCAGCAGAAGGAAGAAATATGCAGTAATTCAGATCAAAAAACATTCTGAGGACACATGGACAAAATACAGAGCTTTTTTTTTACTGTTGAAAGGAATATAAGTCAGAATGACTCATTTAGCTATGTATTTAAGTGGACAACAAATATTATCTCTGAGATATTTTTAGGACACTCATTTTTAATATTTCTCTCAAAATGAGATATACAGTTTATATGGCATACAGCACAGAATAACTAAATTTTTGAAAATCTTTCTCTAATTCTTTTTTGTTTCCTTCCTGTTTTCAAAGAAGTTTTAGATATGAAAGTGTTAATAGTATCTTTAAAAATTATTCTTATTTAAGAAGAAAAAATCATATTACTTCTTAATCTTTCTAATTCTGTTCTCATAAGGTGAACTTGGATTTGTTTCTTTAACACTGAATCCTTTTATGGAGACCTGATTTCTTTAACTAATGAATTGAAAAAAAAAATGACATCAGGTTCCTAGGTAAGTACTATCAACTAAGCCGCATGCAATAGTAATGCTGCTTCACATCATAGAAAATAAATATTTGGTTCAGTGTCCCATATATTTTATAAGAGTAGTGATTAAGATAGCAAGTAAATAGCATGCAAAAGATTATGCAGTCATCTGCAATCTGCCTTTCAAGCGTCACTGAAAAATTTCTGTGAGTAAAGAGAGCTAGGCATAATTCACTAAAATTACATTGAACACCTCTTGATCAATAGTGATAAATCTAGTTTTGTTGTTAAATCGATTTTCTCCTTTATAGAGATATATTGTCGTGATTGTTTTAAGAATAATTGTTTCACTAAGGATTTTTATGGTGATTAGGACAAAGTAAACAAGAGAAAACTTAATGTTGCTCCTTGGCATTGCCAGCATTTCAAGTTAATTTGTTAGAGATAGCAATAGTGATTTATATCATTTTGGGCAATTATGTTTTCTTGAAAGAAATTCAGTGAGACAGATTTCCTTTCAGAAATAAGCAACCTCTGTGTTTGTTTTACTTTTATAAAATTCTCAGGTCTTGCCAATATAAATATTCACTAATGCACACTCTCTCTTCCAGCTTTTATCACTTTCCTTGATTTCTTGGCATAGATCACATTGAAAAAGTCCAGATAATTTTTTTTGTATTACAAAAATGTTTAGACTAGACTCAGTAACAAAGGTATGCTCCAAAGATTGCTAAAGTGGTTTTTCTGAATTATTTCTCAATCTAAATATAAGGGGCATATGTGTGGTTGTGTGTGTGTTCTATCCGATTTCCAATTTTTACTAAAACAATGAATGCTTTAAATATTTTATAAAAAATTATTTAAACACCTCAGCGTTTAAGTATACTGTGAAGAAAGAAAAAAGCGGACATAAGTTTAAGTAACAAATCATTAATTTTTTAAAAATAATTGAAACAAAACATTAAATATACTTGACTGAATGGTTTTGGTAAAAAAAGAGTACAATGCTAGATATCTATATATTTATATCTATACATAAATTGATAATGAATACAAGCATAATTTCACTTATTTCAATAATTTTATATAACTCATTATCATTTATAAAGTCCTGTGTAGAGAGTGAAATATTTATTTTGATGAGCAATTGTAAATTATGATTCTTATGGGATCTTAAATTGGCAAGTTAGGTGCTTTTGTGAAATAATAGAATTGTCTAAATAATAACATCATAGAATGACATAGTTTTAAAATGTTTTCAAAGTCTAAAGCTTAATACAAGGTATTTCTTTGGGTCAATAACAATCTTATTTGTATATAGCTAAGATAATTATATTTCAGATAAACAATTGTTATTTACCCATAGCAAACTATACAATGAGATAAAGTATTTTAATTAGAAAGCATATTCTATATTTTCTTCCACTTGTATGGATATATTGCAAAATAGAAGCAAAGCATTAATGAACCAGTACACGGATATAACTGTGAATTTATCAGTGTTTTGCTTTTATTAAAAATAAAAATCCTCACTTATACTTCAGCACATCTTCCTTTGAAAATGCAAGACATAATATACTTAGTATGCACATTTTTATTACAAAATCGTATTTTTTTAAATGCCAAGTAAATTTTAACCCATACAGTCAATCTTGTGTGTGTGTGTGTGTGTGTAAAGTTGTTTTACCAGTAAATTTTTGGCTTTTAAATAATTGTTTAATTTAAGCTACCGATTATTCACAGATTTCATCATGTATCCACAAATTATCTTTACAATTCTTTAATATTGAAAGATGTTGTTATGTTTAAGTATGTCTTAAAACTTCAGTTTTCCCATCAGAGAGGGAATATGATAAATAAAATCCAAGGAAGCTAAGTATGATAAATAAAATCCAAGGAAGCTAAGTAAAATCAAAATAGTTGTGGCTTCCAAACAGAAAATATGCTGCAAGTTAAAGGCAGAAAAAGATGGTAACTTCTTAGGCAGGGTGTTGGTATAGAATCTGTGTTTGGCATTGTCATAACATTGAAATTTATGAAATGTATTTCTCTGCTGTATTTGATGTACTTCCTTTGACCCGACCCCAGCACTGTGTGTAAAAGGCAGCTGCAAGGTAATCTTTTTTCGATTTTTCGTACCAGATATTAATGAAATAAAAATGATCCAGTTTTATTTAGAAATGAAACATTTAATGAGGTATAAAAGGCATACCTGTAGGAAATTGATGCATTTATTTAAAATGGAGTTTGCTCCATTGTTAAGATACCTGGATGATACAAATTATTACCTCTCATATGTTTATAAACACTTCAGGCTTTCACAGTTAAAAATAAAATTAACCGTTTAAAAAACCTCCAAATTATTTGTGGAAAATTTACATGCCAGTAGTTACTTTTTCTCATGGAAATTCGATAAGGCCAGAAGATATGCTTTGAGGTCACTGGCCACAAGTAACCTTATACATACTAACCATTCTGCTATATATCAATGCACCAAGATTTTAGCAGTCTCTGGAACATTAAACCTTCTGTCATTCTTGTCCCTACTGAGTTTGATTCTGCTGAGGTTTAGTGGAATTATAAACACACATGAAAATATGCAGAATATATTTCTTTTTTGAAGTGATTATAATGTGATGTTTCTGCACTGCCAGCATTCATAATAAAGCAAATGTGATGTTTCAGTGCAATATGACATCCACCATAATCTTATTAACATGTAAGCAGCATAAGACAAAACATGCACTGTATTACCCGCTTTATTTAAAGGCACAGAACAAATAGATTTCTTAATGTAAACTTTTACAATCTTTGGCAACAGACACGTGCCATCAACTTTGGAATTCCTTGCAGTTTGCAGACACAGGTTTGTCAAATGAAGGGTTTTAACAGTTGTTAAGTTCTCCCTTACAAATAAAACAATAATATCCAAAGTAACTAAGTGTAGTTTTAAATCGATTGATCATTTTGAACACCCAAAGAAGATGAATGACAGTGAGCAACGTTTACCTGACACCCTTGAATATTTCACAGAGACAAGTTGATATGAGTTTGTATAAATACTAATATTAAGCAGAATTAGCTTTGGAAAAAATAAAGAAATTGTACTGAGGTGAAAATTGTCACTGTCAGGAGAAATGAAGTTATATCAGAGAACAAGTGACATACAATTTTCTCTAGAGTGTTTTTAATAAAAATAGCTTTTCTTTGAATATTTTGAAGTCAGACATGAGAGGCAATCTGGGCGTTTGTCAGAGTTTGAGAGTGTGAAAAATTGCTGCCTTAAATCATTTAAGCTGAAAAGCAACTTCTTCCTGCTGAGATAATTTCACATTGACTTACCGTGCAAGCCCTTCAGGCATTCCCAGCTCAGAGCAGAAGTTTTCAAGGTAAAAACATAGAGCGAGAACATGGGAGAAGCTGGGACAAGGATCAGCAGCAACTCCAGGCGTTCAGGCACATCTGACTTTGATTAATTAGAGAGCTGCTTTTCTATTTCCACATGTACTGCCTGATGGAAAGGTAGAATGGACTGGGATACACAAACTTGGAGTTGACTCTGTTAGATATCAGCAGGTTTTGACATCTTCTACCAAGCTTGCAGAATATCTGCTAAGAGGACTAAATTGCTGAAGCACACTTTTAATTTATTCATTTTCCTAATGCAGAGAAATTATCTGAACTGCAATAGATGTGATTTTCAACGGTGAATAAATCAGTTACTGTAAATGTTTAGGTTAGATGAACAGGAAACTATCTTGCTGCATAATGAAGGGTGAATTATTTCCCCCTTTTTGGAAAGTTTTTTGATATCACTATTCAATTTTAAATTTAAGTACCACTCAACATGATTTTTCCTCTTATTTTAATGAAAAATACTTTAATGTGTTGAAAATCTTTTTATGTTCTGCAATCATTTTATATTCAATAAATTGTTTTCTTAAATTCTCTCTTTATAAAATGTTAACATTTAAAAGATATTCCACCTTTTAACATTTTATTAAAAATTAATACACAAGATAAAATTACTTCAGGAATATTGATTTTAAAGTTGCCAACTATTTAAATAATAAATGTAAGTTTAAAATTTTTAAAAAGAGCATGTATTAAAGTCTAAATTATTTTAGCTCATTATCTGACATTTAAAAATATATAAATGCATTCTTTTGAAAAAATTGCTTGTATTTATCATATACAACATGTTTTGAAATATATAAATGCATTCGTAATATATTGCTTTATTTTAATTTCTTATTTCAGAGATAAAATACTTAAAAATTAAGCCGTTTGGTTTCCAGAAAGATAATTCTTTTGAAAAACAGTATTTATGCATTTTCTTAAACTTAAATTATTCTGAATTCATTTTTATTACATAATGAAGATTCTCCTCCACCCCTTTTCTGGTTTTTGTATATTTGTTATGGAAAATGCTTTCTTATGTTTTTAACATCTAGTGAATCTCATAATTGCTTACTTCTTATTCTTTAGCTCCTAAATAACTCTGGCAGGAAAAGCGACAGCTTCAAGCAGATTTCCAGTGATACTGTCTCCGTCTTAAACTGTTAGACTCTCAAGAGTTCAAACTGATCCTGATCGACATTCTCTCCATTCCCGGTTTGGTGACGTAAGGGATGAACACAGCCTTGATATCAATCACTTCTAAGGTAGATTCTGAAAAGTCTTGCTGTGCATCAGCCAAGACATAGAGTCCTTAATGAAATAATAGGATCCTTAGTTATTATCATAATTTTTTATAGAGAAGTCCTCACATCAGACATTGTCCCCTGCCTCTGTCAATCACACATTGCAATTAACTTATTAAATTGCACTTGAATTGGATTGACTACTAGAGAGAGGAAACGAAAGTTCTTGAAAACAGATTCTTCTTTTACATCCTTCAAACACTTCTGAATCAGGGAATATGTGATCTGGGTTTTTCTTTTACAGCAAATTAATTTTTCAGTTTTGACTTAAATAGGAAAGATTTTTAAAAACTCCTTCAGTGAACTGGCTAGTTACAGTTCATCTCCTATACCGTCTTCCTCCCCAACCGCCCCACCCACCACAGGGGAAGTAGCAACTAACATGACTGAGATATGCTTAATGTATTAACTATTAACTGTCCAATTCAATTCATGGAATATAAATTTAGCTTAAAAGTATATATAGGACACAAAGATGAGTGAGATATAATTCTTGCCTCCAAGTAGCCCATTATTTAGTTTTGCCATAAGAAAAGTAAATGATACGTGCCAATGAGAGGTAAAAATAAAGTTTCAAGGGAGTTCAAATTGAGGAAGAAATTAATCAATTTAGAAATTGAACAAAATATTTATTATCTTTTGTGTGCCTGACACATATGACATAATTCCTGACCTCTAATAGCTCACAGTATAGTGGTAGAAACACTTGGGTAAATTGCATGATTACAATACAAAGAGTCAGAGGTATAATAAAAGAATAAAGAATGTTGGGGAGAGATGTGAACCCGTTGAGAGTCCTGAGAGAACTGGAGAAAAACTTCACACAGTAGGGGTGACACTTCAGAAGGACCTTGAAAGTTTCCAGCAGAAACAATGGCATTAAGCAAAGGCACAGAAAGGTGGGTGGCCCAGGCATGTCTGGGGTAAGATGAACTGCTTATTGTTTCTAAAACAGAACTGCACACAGTTCATGGGGAACTGGGAATTGCCAACGTGAAATCATACCACCTTTAATGTTACATACTTCTGAAACTACATTCAAGGCATAGAGTGTAGCTGGTGGAAATGAAGAAAGATAAAATAACACATGTATTAATTAAGAATGGCTGGGACTGCAAGAAACCAAATAACTGACCAAAATTGTCAACACAGAAGAGGTTGTGGAAGAAGGTGGCAGCTGGCCAGCCTTTCTGTGATACTTTTAGTCACAACATGCTTACTACACATTTAGGCAAGTAAAAAAGAAGTTGAGAAAGTGAGTATCTTTCCCCTTAGGAAGTTTGTCTTTTTAGCTACAAAGAGAAGCTTTCCCCAGTAGACTTCCACTTAACCTCACACTAGCCAAAACTGGGTCACATGTGTACCTTTAATTACAAGGGAGACAAGGAAACAAAGTACTTCGCTTTCCAGCCTCTACAGTGAAGGAGGATGTAGGAGTAGGAATTTGAGAGTGAGAGCTAAGTGAACCAATCTGTAGCATCAGCAACGGTGTACTCTCCCTGTGCTGTAGCCTGTGATACATAAATAAAATCACATTTCTTGTGCTTTTACTCAATGCACCCCAAACTCCACTTGCTGTCTACCAGATCCAACTTCTGAAATTACCAGATACCTATTTGTTACCCCTCTATCAGTAAATATTTTTCTACCCTCCATACCATATTACATGCTCTTCTTAGGGACACAAGACAATAGCAAAATACGTTATTTAGAAAGATAGAACA
Source organism: Homo sapiens (assembly GCF_000001405.40). NCBI lineage: Eukaryota > Metazoa > Chordata > Mammalia > Primates > Hominidae > Homo > Homo sapiens. The sequence continues at coordinate 115,497,999 of NC_000007.14, forward strand.
ATAGCCAGCTGTGTGAGCACAGTTCTACCAACATTTTCCCTCTCTGTCCACTGCTTTTCATTTCTTTATTGAAAGATGCCAAGGCAAAGGTAAACAAATCCAGCATAACATAATGACTATGGGGAGGACACAATGACTTGAACCTAAAAATAGCGTCTTACTTATTAGCTGGATGACTTTTCTAAGCCTGTTTCTTTACTGCTGGAGTGCAAATGATATCTATCTCGAGCATCATATAAGGATTAAATGAGACAATGATTGTAAAGTGCTATGTACAGATTTGGCATACAGAAGTAATTGAAAAGTTTTAAGTCTTTTTTAAAAAATACAAGTTATATCTCCATTATGAAGATACCACTCCAACCATAAGCTAGAAGTAAAGAATTGGCACTTCTTAATGCCAGTCAGAACTTCTTAGAAGCTGTCTATTCCTAGTTTAATGACTTTTATTATGCCCTGCTGTGTTTTCTTATAGATTACTGTAATTTTTCAGAAAACTAATTGTTGATAGCATTAGTTGAATATTTCTAATTCATCACAAAAGGACCTCTGTTTTATGGCTTGTGATGGAATTTCTATTTCTCTATGGTCTATATTTGACTGGACTGATTGAACTACATTGGGCCACATATCTCATGACCAGAATAGAAGCAATGGGGTATACCCTTTCATAGTGAGAAGTTAAGTACAATATATTTATGGGTACTGAAAGTTATGTGGTCTTTAAATCTGTAAAACTAGAGAAGAACAAATTACCCTGAAAGTTGAAAAAAGTTGACATTCTTTCTTTTGCTTATCAAGAAATTATCATGACTAAAAAACAAAACAAAACAAATGAAGTGGGGTGGTGGGTGAAGGTAACAGCAGCAGCTTTGCACATGTGACAAGAGTGGTCTTCAGAAACTTTACAGATAATATTCCATGTGTTTGTACAAGTCCACAGTCTCTTACCTGAAATCTGATGTGTATTAGAAGTCTTAATTTTTCTAATTATATGAAGTGAATGGTGTGCATCTACCATATATGACATAGTACCGGACCTGGGACAGCATGCTATAATCAAACACATTCTATCGCTTGGAGAAAGTTAAGAATGTTCCTACTGCTTGAGATAAATTAAGTATTTTAGTCTCATGTCAAATCAGGTCATATTTTGTGCTAAACTGGTTGTAAACAGAAAAAAAATGTTTTTAGACTATTTTGCATTTTTGAATTGTGATAAGATGCTGTGGACCTGTACATACGTAATTTATTATTATGTCTTTTTTTTTTTGAGATGGAGTCTCACTCCATTGCCCAGGCTGGAGTGCAGTGGTGCGACCTCAGCTCACTGCAACCTCTGCCTCCCAGGTTCCAGTGCTTCTCCTGCCTTAGCCTCCTGAGTAGCTGGGATTACAGGCGCATGCCACCACTCCCGGCTAATTTTTGTATTTTTAGTAGAGACAAGGTTTCACCATATTGACCAGGATGGTCTTGAACTCCTGACCTCCTGATCCGCCCACCTCGGCCTCCCAAGGTACTGGGATTACAGGCATGAGCCACCGCCCTGGCCCTTATTATTGTCACTTTTAAATGGAAGAAAAAATTAACATATTAAATAAAATAAATAATAATATCTTCCTTTCTATGGACATTGAGATGTAAACTGATAACTTAATTGAGCTTTATTGTATTTAGGTCATTTATGGAGAAGCCCTACATCTCTTTAATCATGGATTTATTTATATTTCACCCTAATTAATGAATAATTTGGAATAGTTTACAATAATACAACACTAAATGGTAAAGAACTGGTTGAAGCAATTGGAGCAAAAAAAAAAAATTAGGTAAAATATCATTAAAGCTATAGGCTAGGCAAGTATGTAGAAATGGATTTTCTCTAACCTCTACATTTGCTAGAGGTGAAGACAAATGTAGTTTGACCTGCCCAGAAGTCAGTGCAAAGAAAGAAATGTGATTAGCTTTACATTTCTCAGGGTCCATAAAATAAATGCACTGTGATCTTTTGTGAGAAGCAGAGCATTTTGTAAATCCGAACCTGAGAGTTTTCTTTTCATACAGTTCCAAAAATTTCTCTACCGGCAGGAATAACAAATTCCTCTTGGCTGTTTGTAACGTCTGTAAATGTTGACTTATGGTTTGATAGAAACCATATTCATCCAAGAGCCAAACAATGAAGTTCCAGTGCACAGACTTCTGCCTGGAAAAATGTAGATGGGATTGAGTCATTCAATTTTTTTCAACTATACTTCTTATAAATGGGCTTTTGATCAAGATTCTAGCTTAGATTTTCTAGTATTCTCCAGTCAGAGCCATTACCTCTCCTGGAGTGTTTCACTGATAAAGGAAAGATTATATCCCGGATATAAGGCTAAGATGGATATCCTAATGTCTCTCTCTAGTTTATCACTAGAAGCTATGTTGGAAAAAAAAAACAGTTTGTACTGCTTCTGAAACCCTTAATACCTGCTTTGCTTGTTACATTGCACATCCTTCTTGCCTCTGTTACTCTCAAAGCAGGAAGCTGCCTTCAACTTTAATAATTGACAAGCTTGACAATCTACAGAATCAATGCAATTTCTATCAAAATGCCAACATCATTTTTCACAGAATGAGAAAAAACAATATTGAAATTCATATGGAACCAAAAAGGATCCCAAATACCAAAGCAATCCTAAGTAAAAAGATCAAAACTGGAGGCATCATATTACCTGTCTTCAAATTATACTATAAGGCTATGGTAATCAAAAGAGCATAGCATTCCTTTTGAAAAATGTATAAAAATAGACATATATATCAATAGGAACAGAATAGAGAACCCAGAAATAAGCTGTGTATCTACAGCCAACTGATATTCAAAAAAGTTGGCAAATAGACACTGAGGTAAGAACCCATTCAATACATGATGCTTAGAAAATTGGATAGCTGGCTGGGCTCGATGGCTCATGCCTATAATCCCAGCACTTCGGGAGACTGAGGTGGGTGGATCACGAGGTCAGGAGATCGAGACCATCCTGGCTAACACGGTGAAACCCCGTCTCCACTAAAAAAAGAAAAAAACTTAGTTGGGCATGGTGGCAGGCGCCTGTAGTCCCAGCTACTCTGGAGGCTGAGGCAGGAGAATGGCGTGAACCTGAGAGGTGGAGCTTGCAGTGAGCCGAGATTGCGCCACTGCACTCCAGCCTGGGCGACAGAGCGAGACTCCGTCTCAAAAAAAAAAGAAAAAGAAAATTGGATAGCCATATGCAGAAGAATGAAATTGGACCCCTACCTTTCACCATATATAAAAATCAATGTAAGATGGAGTAAAGACTTACATGTAAGACTTGAAACTATAATAGTTCTAGAAGAAAACCTAGGAAAAACTCCTCTAGACATTGACTTAGGCAAAGAATTCATGACAAGGCCTCAGAAGCAAATGCAACAAAGACAAAAATAGATTAATAGGACATAATTAAACTAAAAAGCTTCTGCATAGAAAAAAAATCAACAGACTGAACAGATGACCTTTAGAATATGTATAGGATAAAATATTTGCACACTGTGCATCCAACAATGAACTAATATCCAGCATCTTTAAGGAAGCCAAAAAACTCAATGAGAAAAAAAAAAAAAAGCAAATAACCCCTCTAAAAAGTGGGCAAAGGACATGAACAGACATTTTTCAAATGAAGACAAACATATGGCCAATAAGCATATACAAAAAATGCTCAACATGACTAAACATCAGAGAAATGCAAATTAAAACCATAGTGAGATACCAACTTGCAACATGAGAATGGCTATGATTGAAAAGTCAACAAATAACAGGTGGTGGAGAGGATGCAGAGAAAAAGAAACACTTATGTATTGTTGGTGGGAATGTCAATTAGTACAGCCTCTGTGGAAAACAGTATGCAGATTTCTCAAATTACTAAAAATAAAACAATCATTCCACCCAGCAGTTGCACTATTGGATATCTACCCAAAGGAAAACAAATCATTATATCAAAAAGATACCTATACTCATGGGTTTATCACAGCATTATTAACATTAACAAAGATATGGGATCAAACTAAGTGTCCATCAATGAATGATTGGATAAAGAAAAGATAGTGTTATATACCAGGGAATACTACTCAGGCATAAAAAGGAATGAAATCATGTCTTTTGCAACAACATGTAGGAACTGAAGACCACTATTTTAAGTGAAATAACTCAGAAACAGAAGGTCAAGTACTGAAAGTTCTCACTTATATGGGGAGCTAGATAATGTGTACACGTTGACATAGAAAGTGGATTAATAGACACTGGAGACTCAAAAAGTGGGAGAATAGGAGGGTATTGAGGGAAAATAAATTACCTGATGAGTACGATGTATACTATTACACAAGATGTCCATGTAACAAAATTACCATTACACTAGGTGTCCATGTAACAAAATTGCACCTGCACTCTTAATCTGTAACAACAAAAAAATTAGGAAGATAATTGATAGGCTTGAGGACACTATCAAAATTGTGGAGGGTGTTTGCTTCACCCATCACTCTATGCGAATGGTACCCCTTGGAGTTTGCAGCCAATATTTATGGCCTTACATGTCTGCTCTCCTGTATCTGTAACACTCACCTTCCCTCCCCCACACATGTGGCACTCATAGTCTGATATTGGGTTTATAGATTACTAGTTCTCTGGCCTTGAGTCAATTCTCTAGTTCCTTCTATAGCTCTGAGAATTATTCTTCTCCTTCTTTTCAGACTCTTGTTTTGTGTCCAGGGTTCAATTTACTCTCTGTTTCCCACTTTGTCATTATATGAGTTTTTTATTTGTGTCAAATAGGGTAACATCAATAATTATGATTGCCTTCTATGCCCAAAGTATTTCTGTCTCTGAGGTAAAAGCTGGAAAACCATCCCAGTTATATTTTGATAAATAACATTATTATCTTGATTTATTACTATACTAAACTCTAGTAATAATGACAAATAATTTTGAGGATGGGAGTGAAACAAAAAAATTTAGATTGCATGTAATTTGAAAAAAGTAAAATTTAACAGGTATTGAATCTTATTTATTTGTTTCAAATAATCTGAGATCAAGTTCAACAAAATATTACATTTTTGGTGAGTTGTAAATGTAAAGCTGAATGTTATCTCTGAGCCTTTGTCTTTGGTAACTCAGCAGGCTTTCCCTCCTTACACCCTCTCTCCTTAAAGACCATCACTATGCTGTTCAATTTATGATCATTTAAATTTTGATTGATAACTGATAAAATATCCAGCAAAACAATGATTCCTCCTTGCTCTATTAAATACCAAAGTAAAATATTGTGGGGAGACTTCCTTAGACTTATATTTGAGTCTTACAAAAACAAAGAATTGGCATAATGTAGGGGAGGATGCCTCACAACACATCTTTCCCAAAGAGTAGGCCAAGCACAGTGGCTCATACCTGTAATACCAGCACTTTGGGAGGCTGAGGCAGGTGGATGGCTTGAGATCAGGAATTCAAGACTAGCCTGGACAACATGATGAAACCCTGTCAAAAAAAACACAAAAAAATTTAGCTGGTGGCACATGCCTGTGGTCCCAGCTACTCTGGGGTCTGAAGTGGAAAGATTGCTTGAGCGCAGGAGGCTGAGGCTGCAGTGAGCTGAGATCCTTCCACTGCACTCCAGCCTGGTGACAGAGCGAGACCCTGTCTAAAAAATAAAAAATTAAAAAAAAAAAAAGAGTTTGAAGCAGCTGAGCCGCCTCTAAATGCAGAAGTTTCTATGCTTCTGGAGCAGCAAAAACAACAGAATGAGAGTGCAGAGGATGAACAGGAACCCTCAGAGGTCTTCATGAAAACATTAACCTAGACAGCCAGTTTTAGTCATTCCCCAAACAGAGAGACCATTGCCAGTGTTTGTAGCTTGATGCTCCAGAGAAAAATCTTCGTAAGTTTGAGCTGTTTGGCCAACCTTTGCCAAGAGGTCAGCCTTTTCCCAGAGACTGTTGAGGAGTCCAAAGCCCTAATCCTAAACCTGGCGTGGTTGTTTGAAGATGAGAAGCTGCATCAGATTCTTGATGATATCCAGATTAAGCACAGCTTTCAATATTAATCTCCAAATATCACTCTGCTGCTTGGAAGAACCACGTCCCCAGCACGGCACCACCTTCCCAGCTGGGGCTGACTTGCACAGAAATTTTTTTGCCGAAAACAGTTGGGATTCCTTTGAAGAGAACATCCCAAGTGTGGTTGGGTTAGGTTTCTGTTTCAAATAACTGTTAGGCTACAATGACATGTAAACTTGGGGCAGCCTTGCAGTGGCTGTCTATGCCTTCCTAAGCATTCCTCTAGGGAGAGTGAGTTGGGGGGCATATACGCGACGTTGTTGACCACCTTGTCCATGGTTTTAGGCCCCTGCATCATCTTTTATTTTTAAAATTTCATTTTTTATTTTCAATGTGTTTATATTTTCTGAAACTAGACCAGACATAGTAGACTTTATAGGGAAAGGATAGTTTTACCTAGATGATAAAGGAAGAATTAAGCTGGTGTCATTGTTGGAAATTGAGTTGAGAGTTGAGAGTGTTGATGACTGAAAGAGCCTTGGCACCACTGTGCCTGACCTGGGAGATAGGGAGAAAACATGCCATGGGAAGCATTTACACCTGGGGACGCCTGCTAACTGCTGTGGGGCCCCTAGCCTTGAGGTGGACAGATACTTTGCCTTTTTTTCCTTGGACTGTCTTGCAGAGTGTGGATTTGGAGTAAGTGGTCCTGATGTACTCATTTTGTCTCCCTTAAATTTTTTCTACCATAGGCCAGACTTGAAGTTCTGAATACTTTGAAGTCTGCTCTTATGGGGCACCTCATCTAAATCTCTGGTATGCTACTTAGCAATAGGTATTCTGTGATGGGGTGATTTGGAAAGAGGGAGACTGCCCCTTCCTGAGCCCCCGTAGTGAAGTCACCTGATCTGAAGCTAGGTGGGAAAAACACTTTAATAGCTAAACATTCTAGGTTTGATTTTTCTGAAGGGAAATATGCCTCTTTTTTTATAATTCTGGAGTTTTTCTCTGGGGCACTTGCTGACTCTATATGAATTAGTGATCTAGGGGAAAAGTTGGGGAAAGAAAAAAGTTGGCTTTAAAAGTCAAGATCATTTTATGTTCACTACTAGCTAAGGCAAAAATGTATAATTCTTATTTTTATAATAAAAGGAAACATGTTTTAACTATATTGTAAAGTTAAATAAACAAATTATTGTGAAATTATTGGTCAAAGAGGGAAATAGGGCCTTAAGAAATTATTCTTCTGACTATGGTCTCTTCACTTTCTAACTTCCTAAAATTTTCTTTTGTGAGTATAGACATAAAGAAATCTGGAGTGATGCAAACTGATTGCAGAAGTCTAGTCTTAAGTTTTTCACTGTAACAAGAATCATCAGTTTACTATTTTCACTTTTCATAGTGTCTTCAACTTAAGCATAAAGTCTGCAATGAGCTCATGATTGTAAATACATTCATTTCATCAACTTCATGCTGTTCCTAATCAGTGTTTTCTAAGTGTTTTGTCCCAAATCTTTTACATTGTTATGTATTTTCATATGTTCTCCTTACACCCTATGTGTCTCTTTTGTAATTAATTACAACTGCAGTTAATTACTTATTTAGGCTCCGTCCTCCTGCAGGATTATAAATCCCATGTCTCCTTTGCTGCGGTCCCTAGGTCCTAGAAAACAGCCTGGTTAATCAAAGGTCCTACATAAACATTTGCTAGGAGTGCAAACGTGAGGGAGTAGATGAAGCAGAGCAACACACACTTTCCATAGGGAGCTTTCAGAAAACATTTTGATTTTAGGTGGATCTCACATCTATTTTGCTCAGCTTTTTTCCTTTCTTAAGCCTATGCATTTTAAGGGCAGTTCAATTCACATATTTTTATTAATCTACGCTCAATTATTCAGGATGCTTCAAAAAGCTTGTTTGATGTCCAAGAAGCTTCACCAACAAAACAAAACAAAACAAAAAACACATTCTTTTATGGGTGACATTTATTTTATTATACTTTTAAAGAATAGTTTAAAGCTAGAACCATTTTGTTCTCAGGTGAGAGTCTCTTAAACCTGAATTCATCTAACTTTTAATTATTTTCAAAGCTCTCAGCATCCAAGGTTGGCATTGGTGGGGAAACTACTAGTGTTTATGATTCACTGAAAATTAAGGGGGCTGACATGTTTTTAATCTATTTTTATCATGGTCATTGAGTTTTCAGTTGATCTGAACATGTATATATATTGATTGAGTTTTATAATTTTAGATAAAAGTAGCACTGCTGCTACTCATTTCTTAGATATCTTCATAGACTGAAGCACAATATACACAGCCATATGAACCTTTTTTCTTTTTTTGAGACAAGTTCTCACTCTGTCACCCAGGCTGGAGTACAGTAGTACAATTGCAGCTCACTGCAGCCTTGACCTCCCAGGCTCAAGCTATCCTTCAAACTCAGCCTCCTGGGTAGCTGGGTAGCATGATCACACTACCATGCCAGGCTAACTTTTTAATTTTTTTTAGTTTTTTTTTTTTTGAAGGGTCTGGCTATGTCACCTAAGCTGGTCTCAGAATCCTGGGATCAAGCAATGCACCCATCTACACTTCCCAAAGCACTGGGATTACAGTGTGAGCCACAGTGCTCGACCAGCTTTTCCTTATAACAATTATAAAATCTACATAAAAGAATCTTTTTACCACATAATACGCTTTCCATCACACAAACAGCTCTAGCATGTTAGAGAGCACAAGCTGTTACCTAGTGTCTGTTCTCTCTTTCCTCCTTGATAATAGCAATGCCTAATTTTTACCTGGACCATCTCTAAAACTAAATCCCCCAGTCTCCCTTGTGTTAGAGACGAATACATTTGACCAATAGGACTAATTGGAAATGTTTATAATTTCCATGAACTTTTCCTCAAGGGAGATGCCACCCCCTTTTTAGCTTCCGTCTTGTTCTTTCCTGCTGGATAGAATGTAGCATGGCGTGCTGCTCCGAAGGCTGGCGCTTGAGCAGCCACACAGAGACTGAGGAAGCTAAAGGGCCATGCTGCAAACCACAGTAAAAGCAAAACAGGATTCTGGGTTCCTGAGTTTTCATGAGGCTGCTCTGCACATTCACTCTGGATTACCTCCCTCTTGATTTATTTTATGTCAAAGAGAAGCAAATTTGCTATTTTGTTTTGGCCATTGTTGTATTTGTTTTTGTTTTTTTTTTACCTGATTTAAAAAGTCTAGCTTCCCTCCACCAAGAAAACGAAAACTAGGAAATAATTTAAAAAGAGATATATGATTAAAATGACAGCCAAGAAAACTAAAACTAGGAAATAATTTAAAAGAAATATATGATTAAAATGACAGTAAAATTTGTCTGTCTATTATATTATCCATTGGTAAAAGTAAAGGATTCTAGAAATTTTGAGATAATTAGTTACTGTTGTTATCACTTTTTCTTTAAATTATTCCCTAGATGTGTCACTAAGGAAGAGTTTCACTGGGCATATCAAGCTTCTGTCCTTCAAAATAGAGAAGAAAAAACCCCACACTTTATGATTGGAGTATCAAGTATCAAGACACCTTAACCTAACAATCACACTAAACTTTATTTATTCAAATTTGTTTTGCATTTTATTGTATATGTTTTCATCCTTAATTATTTTCCACTTGCATTCTTATTAACCTTTAGTCACCTTCTGTGGGGGAAGATCAGGAAATAAATATTTTGATGATGAACTGACGTATCAAATTAAATGAGGAAACTCCCTCTTTCATTTAGAGTGCTTTCTCTAAGGCCAAGAGGCAGGTCATGAAGAGGTGATTCCTGAAGGACAAAAAATATCTTTTCATTATCTAATAGACTATATTTTAGGGCAAATGAGTAAAATGTTCATGGACTGATTACTAAGCATTAATTGTGAATTAAACTCATTCTGGTTGAATACAAAAAATCTTCTCCTCTAATAAAGTTAAAAGACATTCTTGTGAAGCAAGAAAAAGTGGTTATCATGTCCATGAGGGACTACCATGCTCAAGATGCCTCAGCATCAGCCAGTGGGGGTTACTGGTAGGAGTAGAGATTTCAGCAGTACGTTCAAAGACTGACTCATTTCACCTACATTACAATAACTTAAATGCTTTATATAGGATGATATTCCAGGAGAGTTTTTCCTTATATATCTATCATGAAATGGGCTTATTGTATGTACATAGGCAAACTTGAGGGCAACATAGAGGTCATAATCATAATGCATATTGTCATACGGGTTAGACATAAAAGCAACCTCACAAACAGGAATTTACACATTGAGTGAAATAACTTTAAGTAAATCTCTGACATGGCTCTCCTCCCTGTTTCTCTCTCCTTTCCTCTCCCCCTGCCTACAGTTTTTTTGTTTTTGTTTTTGTTTTTGTTTTTTTCCCCGATTTCCCTAAGGTCTGTAAAAGGATGATCTGTCCTTGGAGTGGGCAGGGTTCTGCCAATCCTTCCTGATTGCAGAGCTGCAGCTGAGCCCAAGCTCTTTTGCTGTTATTTCTTTGTTTCCAAGCCTGCAAAATGGGCTTGAAAATGAAATGATGTGAAATCCAGTGTATTATGCTAATCTCACCATTTCAAAAAAACACATATTGAAAGGGCAATATAATTGATATTTCAACCAGTATAAACAAAACACAAGATTCTTTGGACGCATAAGAAATAGAAGACTCTATGTGCTTTAACAATTAATGTGGCATCTGGACAATTGACCCCTATGTTTGGATCTGTGAGTAATTGTTTGATTTTCATCAAGTGTACACCCTGCTCAGCTTCAGGCAATGCCTCTCTTTCTGCAGAGGACACTCAAGCTCCTAGACTGTAAGCATCAAAGCAGAACCTTTGTAAGATGTACCAAGTCACAAGTCTTATGTTTGAAATTAGTTTTTAGCTAGTGAAGGTCACTGGAATTGATCTCTATATGCGTGGTTTTAAAACACCTGTTTCTACTAAATTAAAAAAAATCCTTCAGCTGTAAGAATATCAATATACATATGTATATATTACATTTTAATCTTAAAACTAGATTACATGCATTTAGCCCTTGAAGTCGAGCCGTTGAGTACAAGATATTAAGACCACTAGAACTAGAACTGTTTCAGTGAAGGTTGGCTAAACTAGGAAAAGGTTGTTGTTTATTATTTGTGTTTCTACCTTCTTTGAGCCTGGTAACCCCTAATGCCTATATCTTAAAAGTGACTTTGTGTATAATATTGTATGTGAATTTCTAAAATTCCATGCACGTGATCTTCAAGGAAATGGTAAGATCCTTTAACTTAGAAAACATCTTATACTTCTTTCACATTTTCCTTAGTTCCTGAGTTTATTGTAGTTATTTAATAAATATTTGTTGATATTATATATAAAAAGCAATACTGGGGTATAAAACTCTGGTGAAAATTTTTATAAAGGTTTTTTTTTGTTGAGGGAAAAGAACACATCACTATCTTAATTTAAAATATGAAGGCAGATCTGATCTTCCAAATTTGTTTTCCTTAAAACTGACTCTTTAGGGTTTGATAGTAAAAAGTAAGAGCCAATGAATCAAAACATGGCGATAGGACAGGAGCTGGCCAAACCTTTACAGGACTGATCTTAAGATTAAGAAAAGCAGAGAACTCCCCACAAAGTCAACAATTCACATTCTAAAGATGTAAAATAAAGACATTTTCAGACATGCAAACTTCCAAATAATTTCTATTTTAAGTACGCTGTCTTAGTCCATTTATGCTGCTATAACAAAATATTCAAGAATGAATAATATATCAAGAAAAGAAATTAATTTTCTTAGAGTTCTGGAGGCTGGAAAGTCCACAATCAAGGCACGGACAGGTTTGGTGTTTGATGAGGTCTGCTCTCTGCTTCCAAGATGATATCTTGATGGCTGTATGGTTCAGAGGGGAGGAATGCTGTATCTTCACATAGCAGAATGTGGAAGGGAAAAATTGGCCAAACTCAATCTGACAAGCATTTTTTACAATGGCATTTATGTATTCTTGAGGGTGGAGCCCTTATGACCTAAGTACCTAAGAGGCCGCATCTCCCAACACTATTGCATTGGAGATTAAGTTTCCAACACATGAATTTTAGGGGACACATTCAGATCATAGAAACCCCTTTCAGATGAAGCTTTTGAAGGGTTTTCTTTACCCATGAATAAGGCATCCTGTTCTACAAAGGAACAAGAGAACAAGGGGCTAAAGGAGAGATGACCCAGGATAAAAATAAAATAGACTGTCAAATGGGTTTGATTGTGTATAGAATCACACTAAAAGGTATTGGCTAGGATTGTTGAAGTGTGTGGAGATATTTAGATATAGGTTTAAAAATACAAAAACAAACATTGCAATAAGTAACCAAAATAAAGTAATTTAAAGTGTCTAAAACACGATTGCATGTTCACAATTCTGAAACTACTTTATATGTATAGCATTGAAAAAAATACATATATGAATTGTAGATGGTAGATAATAGAGGCCAGTTTTCTCACTGTTGGAGAAAAAACATTACAAATAAGCAAGGGCAAAAGACTATAGTAAACTCTGTGGTACTGGGTTAGATGTGGAGATATTAGCAAAAACAAAGGTTTATTTTAATACACATGCAGATTTATAGATACAGAAATAATTATACATGAGTTCATATACAAATGTACGTTCCCTGCCTATATATCCTTGAGTGAGCCAAAGAGCGGTGACATTCAGTAGCAATGAGCATACCTAGTGCTCAGATGTAGGTTTCTAAATACCATGTTCTAATAAAAGAAACTAGGGCTTCTTGAAGAAATGGCTGATACTAGAGACAAATACAAATTGTACCTGTAGCAACTTTTAGTGCCAGAAAGTAAAGTGGTCAAAAACTAAAAATAAAGGGACATATTAAAAGGACATAGGAGCAAACCTGAAAGCCATTTCAGTGGCAAAAGCTGGAATAATTTGAACAACAAAATAAGTAACTGTAGTATTGGTTACAACCCAAAATATAAATATTCAGCTAGGCGCAGTGGCATACACCTATAATTTCAGCAGCTTGGGAGACTGAGTTGGGAGGATCACTTGAACCCAGGAGCTCAAGACCAGACTGGGCAACACAGTGAGACCCTATTTCAATTTAGAAAAAGAAAAGGAGAAAAAACATTTTTTAAAATATAATTATGCAAGAGTCCATGCTGCTGTAAATAAATAAGTAAATAAATAAATGGTGGAGAAGGCACAAATTTTCCTTACAGAAAAAATCCAAATAAGAAATATAGAAAGAGTGAATGAAATAGAGAATCACCATTAGTATGCCACAGTAATAATTGCTGCAGGCACTGATAAATGCTAAAATTAGTGGATGAAACTTTAAGGAGAAATGGAATATTTGCATAGCACCAAAGTATCTTCTCTTAAGTATGCATTAATTGCTGTGGTAATTTTAACATATGTCCACAAATTATTTGATACACCTCCCTCCAGGTGGTGGCGCTTAATTCCCCTTCCCTTGAGGATGGGCTGAATTTAATGACTGATTTCTAATAGATTATGGAAAGGGAAAAAATAGTAAGTTTACCGTATAGAAACCTGACAGATCAAAGTTAGCATCACCATTAATAAGTCATGTTGGTGTCATGTCCTCCCTGTTATGATGCGATGAGAATGGCACCTCATCTTTGTGGAAAAATGTATTTCCTCAGTATAATTATGAAAAAGCATCAAATAAACATAAATTAAGGGGCATTCTATAAGATGGTTGAGCAGCATTTCCCAAAAGTGTTAAGATCATGAAAAACAAGAAAACTAAGAAAAGGTAGCAAAACAGAAGAGATTAAGGCCACATGACAAGTAAATGCAATGTGGTACCCTAAATTAGATCCTGGGACAGAAAAGTGACATTAGTGGCAAAACCAATGAAATCTGTACAAATTTCAGACTTTATTTAGTAGTATTGTACCAACATTAATTTCTTAAGTTTGACTATGGTTATGTAAGATATTAACATTAGGGGAAGTTGGGTAAAGGGTAAATGACAACTCTCTATAATACAGAAATTATACTATATTGGAAATTCTTCTGCAAATCTAAAATTATTTCAAAATAAAAAGGTTTTTTAAAGTGTGTACAACAGTTCAAATAGAACTTCATTTGGAGGATGGGAGAAGAAGAAAGGCATGTAAATAATTAAAATTCTCTTATACTTTATGAGAAGTAAATTGTTTTTAATAGAAATAGCAGTCTTCACATAATAGTTAGAAATATGATTGTCTCTGGGGAGCAGAATCAGGAAAAGAGGGCAAGTGGCTGCCCTCCCCCATTTTTCTGAGACACAGTCTCCTTTATCGTCCAGGCTAGAGTGCCATGGCACAATTATAGCTGACTGTAACATTAAACTCCTGGGCTCAAGCAATCTTCCCATCTCAGCTTTCCCCCAAGTAGCTAGGACTATGGGCATGCACCACCATGTCTGGCTAACTTTTTTATTATTTTTTATCTTTAAAATTTCTTGTAGAGATGGGGTCTTGCTATGTTTCCCAGGCTGGTATGAAATTCCTGGCCTCAAGCAATCCTGCCTCCATCTCCTAAAGCACTGGGATTACAGGTGTGAGCCAACATGCCCAGCCTAGAACTGTTGTATTATTATTATTATTATTATTATTATAAACTTTTTAGCACAATTTAACTTTTATAACACAGTGCATATACTATATTGATTTGATATTAAAGAAGCAAAACAATTTTAGCAATAAATAATAATCCAATTAATTCTTAAGAAATCTGCATCAGGGATCATGGCAAGAGCCAAGACAAGACATCAGGTACAATCAGCAGTTACTGGGAGTAAGACCCATAGCCTCCCAACAAACAGCAGTATCTAGTACTGATTTGCACAATTGCACTGCACTATTTAAAAGCCTTCTCATATGATGCTGCTAAAGTCAGCTACCCAGAAATGTTTTGAAGTTCATGAAAATCAAAATGTCTTAGAAATATAATAGATCCTTTAAAAGACTGACATTCTGCCTTCTATTACATAACATGGCTAAGTTCAACAGGGAGCTAGAAGCATAAAAGGCACATCAGCTGCTAGCAAAAGGGAGATGAAAGCAAAACAAATATCTGGGGTTAGGGGAGACGTTTCCTCTAGGAAGACTAGGATTGAGGCCTTTAAGGAAATGATATGCTACGGATTTTGTTGGCATACATTACTAGGAGGGAGAGGGGGCTGGCAAAGCTTTAATCTCAAGTTCATGATTTTTTTTTTTAGCTTTCTATTTTCCTGTCTTCTTGTTTCCAGTCACCATAATCTTCCCACCTTCTATCTTCTCCTTCTCTCTTTTTTATTTACAATTTTTCTGTGTTTTTATCTTTCCGAAAAAAGGCCTCTTTTGAAGTGTACCTTTTATCTCAATGACTAACAAGAAGCACTGTTAATAATCGGGACTCTGAGATAATGGAGAACATATACTTAGAACAAGAATAAGAAGTCTTTAATTTAGCCACAGTGATATCATTTTTCTGACAACATTTTTGATGGCATTTCACTGATTGTTAAACATTATGCAAAGAAGACAACTCAAGGATATTGAGAGTTCTTTAATGTTTAAAAACTTCTGAGGAAAAAAATTAGATGTGCTAGTTTTACTACTATTGCTCTATTTCATAATTATTCTGAGTTATGAGGTTCCAAGAACGTTTATGAAGATGCAATAGGTAAGACTTTTTGGGAAGTGAAGAGAGGTAATACATGTTACTAGTTCCTATGTGATACTTCAGTTCTTTCCTCTGTGTTTGTTTTTTATGTTTCATTGCTAAATCCATCTGTAAAGAAAGGCTGGAGTCTTTGCCTGAAGGAAGGAGTATATGAATATGTAAATAATACTTTAATGTGATGAGATTTTTCTATTTGAATATCACTTTGATAGGAAATGTTATGTTATCCTAAATATCAACACAGCTCAGAACCAGACGATCACATTTTGTTAACTATTTCTAAATTTCATTTGCAACTGTGTGATTTACTGATAAAGATTAAGACATAAAAACGAAGTATTTTTTATTTAAATAAAGATAGGCTTTTTTTGCCTTGTGTATTTTATTAAGCATAGTTGGAGATAAAAAAGTGGAATTTAAGGACAGCCAGGGGCTTATTACAGATGGTCAGTACTGCATAGTTTCTTCTATTTTAAGTTCTTTCTCAAAGTACAATTGATCTACTAAATGTGTGCCTACTTTTTTTTATGTTTTTAATTGACAGATCAAATTATATGTACTTATTCTGTACAATATGATGCATTGACTTATATATACATCATGCAATGACTAAATTTAGCTGATTAACATTTGCATTAACTCATGTAGTTATCATTTTTGTGGTGAGAACATCTAACATTCATTGTCTTAGCAGTTTTCAAGAATGCCTACTTTCTTTAACCAAATCAAGACAGAAGAAATTCCCTTCAGTGTTTTCTGTTAAACAAAAAGTAGTAAATATTATCTTTAAGAATCACTGTACTAACAAGAAAACACACTGGACTATGGGAATTGGGTTAGCACTTATATTCTTTATTTATCAAGAGAGTTCATGAAGGTCACTGAGAATTTGGCCTTGGTAAGGAAAATCATGAATAACATTCAAATGTATTTAATAAAAATAGAAGGTCAGACAAGGATTTCAGCATTGAGAATAAGGCAAAGCAGCAGTGCAAATGAATAGTAAGAAGCCTGTTTTGAATTATACTGGAAACGTTAGCATGGAACAAAGAGTAGTACTTCTCAACATCATATCTCTGTCTGAAAATGATCACCCAGTAAAGGTGGAAAAGAAACCTGACAGCCCACTTTGTGTTGGCAAATGCCCTGACAACATAGTAGAGGAAAAGGAATTTAACTTCTTCAAATTGAAATGAGAAGGAAGTCAGTGGCTAGAATAACAGAGGTGGATCAGGGCTCAATATATCAACTAGTTCATGCCATTGCTTAACTGAATATAAGCAAATCATTCAAAATCAGCCAGCTAGTCTATTTTAAAGCCTCCTATAAAATATGCTTCCTTCTCCCCCACGCAATCAGCTTTAGTAAACAGCTGCAGAGTATAAAGGCCTATATATTGAGAGAATAATCTCAAGGTTAAGGGAAAGAAATGCCCTGGATATTATGATAACCATACCTGATGTAACATTGCAGACACTGTAGAGCTTATCACATGATCAATTAGAGGAGATATTTTCATCTACTTTTATAGAATTAAATACTGTTTAATTTTGCTGTTACTTAAAAATGTATCAATTATTTCACCTTTCCATTGAACTCTGAATTTGTATATCTAGCTCTATATTTAAATCTCTATCTGGATTTCTAATACTCATCTTAATATCAGCATGTCAAAAATTAAAAGCCTGCATACCTTCTTACACACACACACACGCACACACACACACGCACATGCACACACATGCACTCACCCTTATTATAGTCTTGCCAACACACACACAGCTCCTATAGTCTTGCCATCCTAGTAAATGCCAACTTTATAATTTGAACTGATGAGGTAAAAAATCTTGTAGGATTTCTATCAGGAAATCCTTCTGACACAAACTTTTAGACACAGTCAGAATCCCACCACTTCTCATCACCTCCATTACTGGCTTCTCGATAGCCGTGGTCTTCTTTTACATACTCATTTCCAATAACTTCCTACCTCCTCTTCCCACTTCCAAGGTAGGATAGGGCACTTGTTTCCTTCCTTACTGATTAGAATCCCAATGCTCTCTTCTAGTCTATTGTCACAAAAGCCTGATGATCCTTTTAAAGCATACTTCAGATCTTGTCATTTCTCTGCTCAATATCCTTTAGTCATTTCTTGCCTCATTCAGAGAGTGTCATTGTATTGGTAGAATCTCCTCTAACCATCTGATACAAAGTACTAATCTTTCCTTGGCAGACCCTGACCTTTCTACCCTGCCTTATTCTTTTCTCTGATATTTATTACTATCTGACACATTCTATGTTTAATTGTTTATATATTTTCTATCTGCCATCATTAGAATCTAAGATCCATGAAGATAAAAGCAATGTGTGTTTTATTTTCTACTCTATTCCAAGCACCTAGAAAAGTACTCAGCTCAATAAATATTTTTGAATGAATAAATTTATCAAGCAATCAATAACAAGAAAAACTTTAAAAGGGAATGTGGCTGTAAGTTATCATATGATGAACTCCCATGGATTGAATTGTGTCCCCCAAATGTGTTCAGGAGTCTTGTCAAAAAAACTTATTTACAAATATAGTCATATTCACAGGTACCAGGGGTTAGGACTTGAACACATTTTGTCAAGACCCTATTTATAAATCATGGTGAGGTTATATTGGATTAGAGTGGGCTTTAATCCAATGACTTGTATCCTTATAAGAAGACATAGACACACACACACACACACACAGAATGCCATGTGAAAACGGAGATAGAGAATGGAGCAATGTGGCTGCAAGCCAAGGAATGTCAAGAATTGTCTATAACCATTAGAAGGTAGAAGAAGCATGGAAGGATCCACCACAAGAAGTTTAAGAGTGATCATGACCTTGGCAACAACTTGATTTTAGACTTCTGTCATCCGTAACTGTGAGACAATAATTTTTTGTTGTTTTAGACCACCCAGTTGATGGCAATTTGTTATGGCAGACTTAGGAAACTAACATATAAATCTTATTCTCTTTTTCATCAACTTCTGGGATATTGGAAGTTTAATAGAATATTTAAATGGAAGATTTAAAACAAATATACTGAATATGTTTTGTACAGGACAATATTTACTATGCTTAACTAACAGTTGTGGTCTTGGGTTTGGATTGCCCATTAAACTCATGAGACAAAATGAACTTCACTCAGCCCCTAAGAATAGGCTTCACATATCCTCCAAGAAAGGACACGGGATGGCCAATCTTGAATGTGCAAGAATAGCAGAACAGAGGCTTATGACCCCCAGCTACAGCCACCAAATGTTGAATCTTTCCAAATTGGGATATGCATAATCATAGAAGATAAGGTCTAGTGGCCATGGACCACCTCAGCTCAGGGAAGCCATCAGCTCTAGGATCTCATCAGCTTTTCTACTTCACTAGACTCAGAATCCTTCCAGAGGTGTGGAATCAAATCCTATCTCTGGTGCAACTAATTACTCATTAATTTTAGGTTATTCCTATACAAGTCACTCAATAAACAGTCTAGGCACTCAAGTACAGGTATGTTATTCATTATGTATCAACCTTAGCAGGATTCATTTATCTTGCATCTGCCACACACTAACATGTTCCTGGTGTTCATATTTCAAGGAGGAGGATTTAAGCAAAGGTCAAATCCTTAGATGTGTTTGAGGATAAAGGAAAGGCAACAGACCAGGCAAATAACATTTCCTCTCCACAAAGAATAATGTATAGCTCAAAAATAGAATATTTCCAAGAATTGTCTAAATGTATTAATAGAAAACATTTCTTTCACTTGTGTCACGCAGTCTTCATGTCAAAGCACTTACGTCCAACCACATTTGTTCTCAACATTCACTGAGGTGAAATAGAGTACTTGTGATCTTCTTTACTGATTGTAGTCCGTCAGATGAAAAAAATCAATAGCCTATGAATGGCCTTTCTACTAATCTTCCAATTACGATGTTTAGGAGTCTGCTGATTATGTTTAAAGTCAAATTAGGGATATTTAGATGCTTTCCCAAATATTTGAGAAATGTTTGACAAACCCTATAAAAATAGTATGCTCTTGTTGTAATCATTTATTGACTCCACTTTGAACTTCCATCATTAGGATATTGCAGACTTTACCATTATCCATTGCAGTATTATTTGGTGTATTTCCTTATCTAGCTGTGAATGGCTCTCAGAACTAATCTAAGCAATAGAACAGTCTAATCTGTGAAATTTTGCAGATAACCAAATGGAGTTATTCCATCATGGTAAACTCTGTAGTATGAGGCAACAATTAGGGACCCACACCTGTTAAATCATTCCATAGGAAAGATACTAATAATACGAAAATCAAGACCATGTAGAATCTTCAGAGAGGTCATATTCTATTTATTGAAACTTAGTTATTGTTTTTTGTTACACAGATTTTTAAAATTAATTCTTGCCAGCACATTTTGGTATAATAAGTTTATTCTATCTATGTTTTCCTCTTCTGTAGAAAAATGTATGTATGCATTTTTCTTCCTAATCTGAAAATTTTAAAAATAACTTTCAACAGCACACATTTCCATTAGTATGCATTATTTGTATTTTCAGACCATCCAAAAGCATTTCTAATTCAGTATAATTATTACATGCAATGCAGCAAACACTTTAGTTTGATAAAACTCTCATTGCCTGCTTTATTAAACAAATATTTATTGAGCTCTTGCTATATTCCAAGAATGAGTAAGTGCTGAAATGTTTGCAACAAGGATGAATAAAATGTAGTTACTTTCTGGCTCATAATCTGATAGAAAATAAAGCTTAATATGTGAAGGCTTTAAGATGTACAAATTGCCATAGTATCATCATAATGAATTGCTTCACACTATTTTCTGGAGTTTAGCTTTGAAATTTTAAAATGTTTTCTAATCTGACATTTTCAACATGGAACATAAGTATTACGAAAGTTACTATAAAAATAAAGTTCCCTGGTCAAATAAGTTTTTGATACCAGCATACTATATTCCAGAGTATATTATTCCCTCAACTACTATGAAAAGTATTTCAGTAAAGAAGCCTGTTTGCCATATTTGTTTTAAACTTATTTGATTTTGGATAATTTTTTTCACATTTTTTCTAGCAAAATCCTGAGAACTGATGTTTTGCAAAACACTATTTAATATACTCAAATAAATGCTGATGGATTTCTTTGATTTGAAAAGTAAACTTAAATTCTGTTAGTTCTGAAAATACTTACTTGTAAGTTTAATAAATCTGAGTCTTTAATCACTATCTATTTTTCAGAAGATATTTCTCTTGAAGGGTACAACATCAGAGATTAAGTTGGTGTTTTTTTTCCCCTTCTCTATCTTTAGTTAGAAAAGGTGCCAAATAATTCACACTATAGCAGGAGAAAATTACTTTGGAGTAGAATTATTAATTTGTTAACTTCACAATTATTTATCATCCCTTTTCTGCATCAGGTTCTGTATTAGGCACTGGAGGCACAAAGGAAAACCAAATGAAAAAGGCATCTACACTTGTGAAATTTCCAGTTAGTAGATGACAGGCATCTATTCAATCACCACATAGACATATGCATAAATTACAAACACATAGCTTGTATGAAGGAAGGCTACCCCCTTTGTTCTGAGAAAAATTGCTTCAGTGCTCTATATAAGAGTAAGGGCAAATTACCTTTATATGATCTTTTCTGCTCTTGAAAGAATAATTTTAGTATTCCTGACATGATTAAATGTCTAGTTAGCAGGCCCTATTGTCCTGGGAAAATAATGTAGCAAGACCTGTTATTCTTTGAGTAGCTTTGAGACACCTTTGTTGGGTGGCTTTGCAGGACACTGGGCAGAGTTTCTATAGCTGGCCTCTAGAACTAGCCCTGACCACTCATGCCCCAGGGAAGACTGACTGGCACACAGCTTGGGAAGCTGTGACTCTGAACTGCAAAACCTGGTAGGCATGAGAACAACACTAGATCCTCAGGCATCCTAGGGTATGAAGGCCTCTAAACTAAACCTAACACTGGTTATTAGCAGAACAGCTGTGAAAGGGCTCTAACCTCCTGATAAAAGCTGGAATGAAGTATCAGCTGCCTCCATGGAGTTATAGAATCAAACTTCCAAATTTACTTTATCAGTGTGAGAGTGACTTCAAAGCCCACGAGCCTACCATTTCTGCCAGAGATAATCAGACACCGTGATATTCTGAACGATGTTGTTTCTAATGGTAAAGTTTAATCTCAAATGCTAACACATTCTTGAATTCTAAGACACAAGCACATTGTGTCTCAAATCTCTATCAACTGAGGCCCATGAGACAATAGAAATAAGAATCTGGCATTACCCCTTCTCTAGGGGTAATTTAGAGCCCACTGGAAGTAAGTAAATGATGGGGTTGAGAGGGAATTCGCATCAGGCTCCTGGCCTATTGGTAAAGCATTTCTCTGAACAGAGCTTATTATTTTGAAATAGAAAATATAGCAATGTGGGATTTTCTTCTTTTCATTTTCTTCTATATAATATTTGTCCCATTTTCAATAAGACTTTTTTATGGCTTGGGATATATGAATAATGATCTTTAGAACAAAAAGATAAGAGAAAAATAGTTTCTGATCTTCAAAATAGGATATTTTTAGTCTCAAGTAAGACAAGTATATTTATAACTAAGCTTTATCTACAAAAAAATACTTCAAAAAATAATAGTTTTCACACCTTGAATCTATTGAGCTATGGGCCTGGTGAACTATATCATACAGCTTGACATAGAGATGATCTAGAGTAGGACAGACGCTGCCCCTCCAAGGGATTGCAATGACAAGGAAGAAGAGTGATAAGTGAAGCTGCCAGTGGAATGTGTGTCCTGATTTCTCTCTAGACAGAAGCCCAGAGTTAGAAGGTGTGTTGGAGGAATTGAGGGGACCAAAATGGCAGTAAGATTGTTCCATGATCCTATTTGGAAATCCAGAAGGAGATTACTTCATACTACCCCCACATCCCTAAGGCAGTGCGTGATGAAAAACTTTGAATCCATCCTGGCTAGGCAGAAGAAGTCCTGAGCTTACTGCACCTAAGCTTCTGTTGGACCATGTGAGGCATCAAGGGAATAACAGATCCATGAATATCCTGGATGAAAGGGGTTCCAGAAGTCACTGAGTTGACACTGAGCCAGTGGATCTGCCATAGGTGTCACTACTGTGACCATGGTGGGAGGTGACAAAACATTAAGTGCTACAGAGAAGATAGCCTAATCCAGGGGCCAAATGAAGGATGAGGCTGTGTCAGTCCATTCTTGTGTTGCCATAATAAAATACCCGAGGCTGGATAATTTGTAAAGAAAATAATTTTAATTGGTTCACATTTCTGCTGGCTCTATGGGATGTGTAGAGCTGGCATCTACCTCTGTTGAGGGCCTCAGAAAAGTTACAATCATGCTAGAAGATGAAGGAGGAGCCAGCACATCACATGGTGAGAGAGGGAGCAAGAGATAGAAAGAAGGAGGAAGAGCCAGACTGCTTAAACAACCAGATCTCCCATAAACTCAGAGTGAGAACTTGCTTGTTATCAGGGGGAGGGCATCAAGCCATTCATAAGGGATCTGCCCCCATGTCCACAACACCTCCCTCTAGGCCCCACCTTCAACATTGGGGATCACATTTCAACTTGAGATTTAAAGGGGACAAAACATCTAAACCATATCAATTCACCCCTTGTCCCCAAAATCTCACATTCTTCTCACATTGCAAAATACAATCATCCTTTCCCAATAGTACCCCAAAGTCTCAACATGTTCCAGCATCAAATCAAAGTCTCATGTCCAAAGTCCAAAGTCTTTTCTGAGACTCAAGTCATGTTCCTTCTACCTATGAGCCTGTAAAATCAAAATCAAGTTATTTACTTCCAAGATACAATTGTTGTATAGGCATTGGGCAAACATTCTTGTTCTGAAAGAAAAAAAAATGGCCAAAAGAAAGGGGTAATGGGCCCCACACAAGTTCTAAACCCAGCAGGACAGTCATTAAATCTTAAAGCTACAAAATAATTTCCTTTGTCTTAATGTCCCACATCCAAGGTACACTGGTGCAATGTGTGGGCTCCCAAGGCCTTGGGTAGCTCTGCCCCTCTAGCTTTGCAGGTTGCAGTCCCTCAGCTGTTCTTACAGATTGGAGTAGAGTGCCTGTGTCTTTTCCAGGCTCAAGACACAAACTTACGGTGGCTCTACTATTCTGGGATTGGGATGGCAGCAGCCCCTTTTCCCACAGCAGCCCTTTCCCTACAGCTCCACTAGGCAATGCCCTAGTGGGGACTCTGTGTAGGGGCTTGAACCTCACATTTACTCTTGGTACTTCCATAGGAGAGGCTATCTGTGGAGACTCTGCCCCTGCAGTAGGCTTGTTCCTGGGCCCCCAGGCTTTCCCAAACATCCTCTGAAATATAAGGGGAAGCTGCCAGGCCTCCTTCTCTCTGGCATTCTGCACACCTGCAGGCTTAATGCCACATGGAAGCTGCCAAGGCTTATGACACCTTGTGCTTTCTGAAGCAGGAGACTGAGCTGTACCTGGTGCTCTCTGAGTCACAGCTGGCGCTGGAGCAGCTAGGATGCAGACAACATTCTCCTGAGGTGGTATTGGGCAGTGGGAACCCGGGACTGGTCCTTGAAACCATTCTTTCCTCCTAAGCCTCTGGGCCTGTGATAGAGGGGCTGTCCTGAAGATTTCTGAAGTGACTTTGAGCTCTTTTTCCCATTGTCTTAACACTTGGCACCCGTTTAGTCATCTAATCTCTCCACCAAGTGGTTGATCTGCAGACTGCTTGGATTCTTTCTTTACTACAGGGCCAGGCTGCAAATTTTCCAAACTCTGCTTCCCTTTTAAATGTAAGTTCCAACTTTAAGTAATTTCTTTGTTCTCATATCTTATTGTAGGCTGTTAGAAACAACCAGGCCACTTCTTCAACACTTTGCTGCTTAGGAATTTCTTCTGATAGATACCCTATGTCATCATTCTTAAGTTTAAATTTCCTCAGATCCTGTATTAGTCAGCATTCTCTTAGAAGGACAGAACTAATAGTATATATGTGTATATATACTATTATATGTACATATAATAGTATATATGTGTATATATACTATTATATATACATATAATAGTATATATATAAAATAGTATATATACATATAATAGTATATGTATATATATGTATATATGTATACATATTATATGTATATATGTATATATGTATACATATTATATGTATATATGTATATATAATAGTGTATATATATATACTATTATATGTATATATGTATATGTATACTATTATATATACATATAATAGTATATATATATATATATATATATATATATCCAGCATCCAGCATGAGAGAAAGATGTAGGCTGGGAGGCTAGCCCTGTCTCTCCTTTTCACATTTTTCTGCCTGCTTTAAATTTGCTTGCAGCTGATTAGATTCTGCCCACCAGATTAAGTGTGGATCTGACTTCCCCAGCCCACTGACTCAAATTAATATCTTTCAGCAACACCCTCACAGACACACCCAGGATCAGTATTTTGTATCCTTCAATTCAATCAGGTTGATACTCAGTATTAACCATCACAAGTCTACCCCTTGTCAACTTGAACCCATACACATCTCCTGAGATCATACATAATCTTCAAATAAAGACAATAAAGGTCATAATTATGCCTAACCTAATACAACTATCCTTTTTACAACTGGAAATTCACCAATCCCCAACCCAAATACTAGTACATAAAGTTAACAATATTTAAATGCTGTTATGAAGTCAATAAATCTTGTGTCACATGATAAAGGAGAAAGGAAATAAAATGCAGATATTTTCTTAGTACAAGTCTATACATGCACAAACATGTTCTTTACATAAGAAAGAGGAAGTACTCATGACAATTACAGTCCTTGTGTCTGCAACCGGTCGCGTCGTCATAGCTGGTGTTGATGACTACCTTCTTCTACTACCCATTCTGTATTCCCTTTGCCTTTAGCAAGCACCTCAGTGGTCGTGGGTTTTTCCTGATGGAGTGACCCAAACATTCATTCTTGAAGGGTCTGGGTGATTTGTAGTCCTGCCTGGATTGGGCTGTTGTAGTTTCCCATTGACCTTAATCACAGGGCACGGTAATACTAAGAGACATCCTAATGGAGCTCCTGAATTCCATGTGTGCTATTCCTTACCTCAGTTGTGGAGTAGTAGACTGATTTCATTTTGATAGTCTGGGTCAACCACCCAGCCAACACCATAGCTCCCTTCTTAGCCTGTTGACTTAAACGTAGGAGGAGACCAAAGTATCCAGTTCGCAATCTTAACTTCCAGTTTAATGGAATCATTGTTGTGTCTCCCAGTGGCAGTGTTCCTCCCTCTGGAACTAAGACCTCTAGGCCAGCAGAATGTAATGTTGCGGGAACAGAAGCAAAAAAATTTGCTAGTGGATCACTAGGGGTGATGGTGAGTGGTGCCACTTTCACTTCCATCCCTTGGTTCCTGGACCTGTAAATCCTGGTTATGAGAGAAACAGTACCATATATTCGATGCTGATTCAGAGCATACATGACCTTCTGGAGAACTTTGCCACAGCCCTGCAAAGTATTGTCACCTAATTGGCATTGTAATTGTGACTTCAAAAGGCCATTCCACTATTCTATCAATCCAGCTGCTTCAGGATGATGGGGAACATGGTAAGACCAGTGAATTCCATGAGCATGAGCCCACTGCCACACTTCTTTAGCTGTAAAATGAGTGTCTTGGTTGGACGGAATGCCGTGTGAAATACCATTATGGTGGATAAGGCATTCTGTGAATCTACAAATGGTAGTCCTGGTAGAAGTATTGCATGCATTAGGCAATAGGATAAGCAAACCCATATCCAGAGTAAGGGTCTATTCTAGTAAGGACAAATCTCTGCCCTTTCCATGATGGAAGACGTCCAATATAATCAACCTGCCACCAGGTAGCTGGCTGAACACCTGAGGAATGGTGCCATATCGAGGGCTCAGTGTTGGTCTCTGCTACTGGAAAACTGGGCACACAGCAGAGGCCATAGCCAGGTCAGCCTTGGTGAGTGGAAGTCCATGTTGCTGAGCTCATGCATAACCTCCATCCCTGCCATCATGGCCACTTTGTTCATGAGCCCATTTGGCAATGACAGGGGTGGCTGGGAAAAAAGGCTGAGTGGTGTCCACAGAACGGGTCATCTTGTCCACTTAATTATTAAACTCCTCCTCTGCTGAGGTCACCCATTGGTAAGAACTCACATGGGATACAAGTATCTTCACAGTTTTTCACCACTTATAGAGGTTCACCCACATACCTCTTCCCCAAATTTCTTTGTCACCAATTTTCCAATCATGGTTCTTCCAAGTCCTTGGCAATCCAGCCAAACCATTGGCTACAGCCCATGAATCAGTATATAATCACATATCTGCCCATTTCTCATTCCATGCAAAGTGTGCAACCAAGTGCACTGCTTGAAGTTCTGACCACTGGGAAGATTTCCCTTCACTGCTATCTTTCAGGGATATCCTAGAAAGGGGCTGTAGTGCGCAACTGCCCACTTTCGGGTGGTGCCTGCATATCGTGCAGAAGCACGTGTGAACCAGGCCCTAGTCTTCTCTTCCTCAGTCAACTGATCATAGGGACCTCCCCATGAGGCCATCATTTCAGGCTGGGAGAGAGAAGGCAGGGTGGCAGGATTGGAGACCATAGCCATTTGAGCCACTTCCTCACGTAACTTACTTGTGTCTTCGAGACCTGCTCAAGCCGGCTCATCTATATACCACTTCCATTTGATGATGGAATGCTGCTGTGCACAACCTACTTAATGGCTAGGTGGGTCAGAAAGCACCCAGATCATGATAGGCAGTTCAGGTCACATGGTGACTTGATGACCCATAGTAACACGTTCAGTTTCCACCAAAGCCCTGTAATGGGCCAAGAGCTGTCTCTCAAAAGGCGAGTAGTTATCTGCGGAAGATGGCAGGGCCTTGCTCCAAAATCCCGTCATCCTGCAATAGGATAAAATACTGCCTATATAGCAAAATGCAGCTGTGTGCAGATATTTATCATATTGGCTCCACATATCCTAACATTTGTGAAAAACAAGTGGCTACATGAAAGTATATCAGCAGGCTTCATTTTACATGGTAGGACAGCAGCACGATCTAAAAATACAATACAAAATCTTAGAGTGGATGAGAGGCAAATTTAAGAGTAATTTTAAAATCTGACACTCAAGCAAAATAAAAATTAATACGTAGAATTTTTCTAAATACAAAATAAATACGTCATTGAGGGAATTAACCCTTTTTAATCTAGATGTCCATCTTACCACATTGTCTCCCAAATGCATACTTAGCTACTTGCTCTATATTTCTATATGCAACTGGAATATTAAAATGTTCATAAGTGTTAGATATTTTTTAAAAATAATCAAGTCATATATGTTTCTGTATTCCACAAATTATAACATACAATTGATTGTCCTGATGAGAATAAAAAATAAACAACTTTTTTTGAACAGGTTTTGTTTGAGATAGGGAAGGCCTGTAAAGCTGACCAAGACATTTAATGCTTTCACAATAAATACAAGCAAAAAGTATACCTTCCAAGAATGTTACGCTGATGCCCTAAGGGATTCGGGGCTCTAACCTAACTAAATACAACATCCTGAGAGGTGAGAGTAGGAAAGCATGCTATTATATCTCACAGGAAACATTCCGATTCTGGTGTCTCATTCTCATGACAAAGGTGGCAAGCAGAATAGAGAATAGCACAGCATGGATCCCTCCTCCTGACAAAGACAGGAAGAAGAATGGAAAATAATGCAAAGTTAGTGCCTTCTTGTTCAAATATATTATAATCTTAGGTCTTCCTCTCTTCCAGCAAGGATGTGAGACATTTAGTCCTGACAAAGTGAAACTGTGATATAATAATTGCTAGAACTGCAGGCTTTAGAGAGTTTCAGGGTTTGCTTTCCAAATAGAAGGTGTATTATCATTCACAAGTGTTTTCGCTTTCCCAGAAAGAATTTTTTAAAGGAAATATAATTGTTATACCATAGAATTTTATAGAAAGTAGAGGCGAGACTCTTCAAAAATTGTGTTGTGGTAACCTTAGACTATTTGCAAAAGAAAATAATTTATGTTGGAAAACAAAGGCAAAAACATCTACTGCAAATGCTGCAGTTACAGTATTTGTCATTGCATCTAGTGATAGCATGGAACAAATAGCACAGCTCTGACTGTAGGTGTATATGTGTTCATGCCATCATGTATACATGAACAAAAGTAAGCTAGAAATTGTAATAACAAAACAAATTGATAGAAGTCAGAAAAACAGCTAATTGTCACATGTCATTAAAATATTTTTCAAGGGTCAAAGCTCCACAATTAAAGCAAACTGAGAAAAAAACTTAAGTATTTAAAAAAATAAAACTTGTGCATAAATACTATTATCTGGATATTTATTTCATTTAATATAGTATTCTGACCATTTCAAGTTGTAACCAGGGAAATCCACTGCAAATTCAACAGGTTGTAGTTATTCAAATTTTGGGATGTCTAATTTCAAACCTTCAATCTGAAATATTTTTTGCCATATCTAGAGCTTGAACTTCTAAATAGTTTGAGAAGTTCTAGGAGCAATGTAACAGGGGCTTTACATACATTCAGGTTTAACTCTCACAGCCCTCTGTGAAAAAGAACCTGCTATTATCTGTACTTTACCAAAAGGACACAGCACATCACACATCTATGTGGTGGGGTAAGGGCCGGGGGAAAACTTCTCTTTTGTCCTCTGAAGGTTCACTGAAAATTAACTGACAAATGACCGATTAATAGAATAAATAGCACATACATTTATTAACATGCATGGAGGAAAATTGCAGAGTGATTACCACACGTGGGGTATGGATGGTTCTATACCCTTCTTCTTAGGGAAAATGGAGATGGGAAAATGTGGATGATTTAAGGGGGCCAGTAAATGATTTTGAGGAAAATTCAATAAACTTGAAGAACATACAACGGCTTGGAACAAAGTCTGTTGGGCCTGCAGAACAAGGGTTTGTGACAAAAGGCTGTCAGGTGTGTTGAGAGATTTCAATCTTTTTTTCTGGCAACA
Organism: Homo sapiens; assembly: GCF_000001405.40. Lineage (NCBI taxonomy): Eukaryota > Metazoa > Chordata > Mammalia > Primates > Hominidae > Homo > Homo sapiens. Next base: position 115,527,872 of record NC_000007.14, read on the forward strand.
TGAGTTCAGTTAATGAAAACTCAGGGAAGGGACCAGAGGCAATTGTTTTCTCCTTTGGCAGGTCCAGAGTTTAGGCAGATAAGGGAACTCCAGAGAACAACCTCATTCTGTGCTTTGGGAGAGAAAAACGATTGAGAGATAGATGGATGGGGAGTTCAGAGCGACCTTGAGGCTTCTTCAGTTCAGCATGTCCAAATGTCATATTTTAGGGTATCAGTTTCTAAGCCCAAACATTGAAAACTGGGATTGAATCTCCAAGTTTAAAATAAGGAGTGAAGCTGGCACTAAAATCAGAAGTACTATACTTTGAGACTTGCACTGTGCTATACACATGTGAAGACATCTGAACCTATTTCTCATGAAAAATGATCTGATAATTGTGTCTAATTTATTAATTAATAGAAATATGAGACTCAAAAAGTGACTTATTGAAGGAGTCGTCAGCAGATCTGAATCTTGCATGTATACACTTTGTACTTGCTTTTTGTTCTAAAAGTCTCAGCATTGGTTAGCCTTGGCTTGCTCATAATGGGAAATTGGGTATTTAGACAATAGTCCCATGGGTGCTTTTTGCAACGACCTCTTAAAGAGCTCATGACAGAGACAATAGCTAAACAGATTGGAGTGGAAATTCAGTTTTAAGATCTAGTCTCTCAAATCACTGTGTTCCTAAAGCACTGTGCAACACCCAGATAGAAGAGGTAACCACCTTGAATGTGATGTAGTAGTAAAGATCATGTTGCATGGGAAGTTTAAGAAACTGAAATACTAAGTTATATAAAAGGTATAAAAATGGTATAGTCAGAAATAAAGTGACATAAATTATTATAAGTAGGCTTGAAAAACTTTCAGAACGTGTAAAGGTCTAGAAAGAATGTCAAAAATAATCACAATAGCTAATATTTTTAGATGCTTACTCTGGTAGGTATCACCCTATGTGCTTTATGACATTAACTTATCCTCACAATAATCCTATGATGTAGAATTGTTGTTGTTATTAATGTAATATCATTGAATACATAAGGAGAATGAGATAGATTTAGAACTTGCCCAAGGTCACTGGACTTTAACTCAGGCAGTTAGCTGTAGGCTCTGTGACCTCAGTTACTAACATACAACCTTATATATGGTTGAAAGCACTAGAGAGAGAGAAAGGAACCTGAGAGAGGGCTGACATTTAGAGATTCTACTTTAAAAAATAGTATATAGCAAGGACAATTTTCTTTTTATTTAGGATTTTTAAATCGTACTTCAAGCTGGTGTAAGCAGGAAAATGAATGTTGCACATGTGAAAGAATAGAGAAGTATAGGGAAAAAAGAAACAAGAGGGAAATAAAGGGAAAGAACTCAATCTAGAACAACACATTTTCTACTCCCACTATTATTGATATCCAAATTTAGTATCAGACAAGTAGTAGAGAGAGGAACATACAATTAATCTGCAGGGCAACCAAATGAACATATTCCTGCCTACATACATTCATAATAGGTCCAATGTGTATAGTGTTACACAATGATATAATGTATCATTGATTAGTCTTTGCTGCAAAGGTCCAAATAAGCATAATGCAATATTGCTATTATTACACTTACCAGATGCCATCGTATGGTTCCCCATTTAGCACTATTGCTTACTTATGTTTCTTAATTAGTTTAGGGATATTGTTTCTGCTCCCAGTCAATTAAAGTGGTTTACAGAGAGGGGAAAGAATGTGTGATTAGGGCAATCCAAGAGGTAATGAGAATAGTTTTGAACTCCCTATTTTGTAAATAATACCTGCTCATATTTACTTGTTCTGAGAAAAGTTAATGAATGTCATTAGAATCTGAGAAAGTTAAAATCTTAGAATTTTATTACAAGAAAGAACATCTTACTTCTTACTTTAGAATGCATTGGAGAAGGAATGTCTCCAATAAGGCTGTCAGGTCACACTGTCCACATATAAAATGATTGATGCTTGCAAAAATAAGGGTTGTAGATATTAAGAGGCAGCATTTCATGTTGTTTCATTTTGTGCTAGTTGTACTACTCGCTAAATATATTATAATATTATAAGTACCAAAACATTAAAAAAGCCAACATCCTAAAATAACTTGGTAGATATAAGCCCCAAAAAGTCACTACTGATTTTTTCCCTTTTTGTGTCGCTTAATGGGAACTAAAATATCCTAGTTGCTATTCTTTTAGTTCAGGAGATTATGTACCTTTGGTTTCTTCCACATCTAGGAAGATACAAATCGCTAACTCCTCTAGGTTTTAATCTTCTCATCTCTGCAATGGAATAGATAAGATATTAAATTTCTTTTTTTCAATATTGCCTTCCAATGACATTTTGTTTAAAGATCACATTCAGTCGGTCCAGCTGTAGGGGTGTTTTAAGAGATGCTTTGAATATTTTATGGTCATATTTGTGCTAATGATTTATATTATTAATATCCAATATTAGTATTCAGACAAATAGTAGAGGAAGGAACATATAATTAATCTGCAGGACAACCAAATAAACATATTCATACCTACATACATCCATCATAGGTCCAAAGTGTATAGTGTTACACAAGAAAGCAAGGTGTTGGGAAAATGTTGTCAGAATGTTTTATACCAATATTTATATCATCAAAAAAGTAATTCTATTTTCCTTGAAATTGTTGTCTTGGAAGGCTGTATGCTTTATTTCAACAATTACATTACTGTTCAAAACAGTATTTCAACTCATTTTCTGGAACTGCCTTTAAAATCTGTGACACTTTTGTATGAACAGCCTCAATGCTGGCAAAATTTTATTAATGATGGGTGGGTTTGGTTGTTTACAAAAGAAGAAGACCAAGTTTCTTATAGAGTTTATTGAATGACTTCTACATAACACCAAATAAAGTATTCCAAAATTGTTTTGAACAATTTATGTTCAAATTTTATTACAAGAGAAAACATCTTACAGCATCATTGCAACCATACACACATCTGAGCTGCAATACAATAAAATTTCTATGAACAAGCTTCCCCAAGGAATTACTATGCAGAAGAATATCACTCATTTGGTAGTATAATTTCTAGCTTTTTCTTTTATAAATTTCTTGCTTTAGCATTTATACATCATGTATACAGATATTTTTCTATCTATAGAAATAATATGAATATCTGTCATAAAATAATTGTCATAATATATTGATAAATTTTTCCTTTCTGTATTTCATGCATTTCAAGTATATATCAACACATTGTATAACTGTAGAATTATACACAGTTACCTGTAAGGTGATATAGATGATTTAAGATGACATTTTTCTTTCTATTCTGTCCAATTTGTGTGTGATATTTTATTTAATAGTATTTTTGAAAAGAAATATATTATTTGATAAAATTATTACTCAATGAATTCCATCAAAATGTCATCTTTTTGTGTGCTTAAAAGGCTTCTTATCCTCTATTATTAAGTGATAAAAGATTATAATTTGACAAAAATTGATACAAAAATGATTTTAAAAGTATGTTTTAATAAAATGTAACATAAAATGCAAAGCAAATATAAAAAATAATTCCTTTATTATATCAAAACTAAATTTTAATTTTTCCAATTTGCCCTATATATTTTTATATGTAGTGCATATATATATTATATGTATACACACACACACAACATACATACACACACACACATACATACATACATACATTCTATTTATTACTTTTGGTTATTTTTAGGTATATACCCGATTTTTTGTTTTTCACTTTTAGTTTACATTAATGATAACAAGATTACTAGATCCCTAAATATTTCTACATGCTTCAATATGTTTTGTGTGTGTATTATAAAGCTTCTTATAGTGCTACCATTTTAAAAAGTTGCATTTAGTTAGTAAATCTGAATCATGCTCTTAATTATCTGCTGAATCATAGTAGGAAAAGTTCTCTGAATAATTTATTAAAAAAACTAAAGATAAATTTAGTAAAACTGTATAAATGCATAGTTAATGATCCTAGGAACTTAATTATACATGGCATATTTGAAAATAGATTTAATATTAATTGAAAAAGAAAAATACTTTGTCCATAATTTCATAGAAATGAGTTACTTTTCATTGGAAAAAGAAATTTGTACTATCCTGTATCAGTTGTCAATGTAAATTTCCAAAGTAGCACACAGAACATTATTTTAGCATTTATGTTATTCATTAAATAACTATTAAACTGGTCAAAAACCATCGAGGAAATAAATCAAATGGATAATATATCAATCATTATTCCCCCTCAAGGGGGATACATCCTATTAGGGAATACCAAACTGGCATGAAAATAATCATAATACAAATAAAAATGTCATCTATACTATTGTAAATACTCATGCAAGTTCTATAAAAAAAGATAAATAATAATCTCATCTGTGGATAATAAAGAAAAGTATTTGGGGAGCAGGCCATTTGATTGATCTACGAAGTTTACTCCAAAGGCCTGTTATCAATTACTACATAAAAAACTATCTCCAAATTTATCAACTTAAATACACATTTATTATCTCACAGTTTCTGGAGACCAGGAATCTGGTCACAGCTTAACTGGATTCTCTGCCTCACATTCTTACAAAGATGGCAGTCCAGGGTCTGCAGTTTCATCTGAAGCCTCAACTAGGGAGTGATCAATCCACTTGCAAATTCACTCAGCCTTTGTTGGTAAGATTCAGTTCCTCAGAGATGGTTGGACTAAGGGTCTCAGTTTCTTGCTGGCTGTTAGTCAGAGCTAACTCTTGGTTCCTTGTGATGAGAACCTTTACAGCATGGAAGCTTGCATTTTCAGAGTGTGAAAGCTGAGTAAGGCAATAAAGAGTGTGCTAGCAAGATACAAAGAAGACACATTTTTTTTTAACCTGACGGTGACATCCTATCCCCTTTGCTGTATTCTCTTGGTTAGAAGCAAGCCACTAGTTGCAGCCTGTTCTCAAGGGGAAGGGTAGCTGCACATGGTTGGGAACTCAAGGAGGTGAGGTTATTGAGGGCCAACTTAGAACACTGCTTACTGTAGAAATTAGTGAAAAAGTCTTGTAGATATTCCATGGAAGAAAGAAAGGGATACAAATTTTCAACTATATGTATTAAAACTTTATTGGAGTACTATCCATTTGGACTGATCTTTGGAGTTGAATTTAGAAGCCTGTTAACTAAAATGTTTTTATTTCGAAGCTAGTTATTGTCTAAGTGAGTCATTAAGAATTTCTTTTGACCTATGATCATACTATTAAGAATAACTACTATTCTTTGAGTATTTATTACTTACCAACAACTAGGCATTTATGATCTCATTTAACTACAATAATCTACTTATAAAATGAGTACTGTATTTAAAGAAGAAAACCTGGACAAGTTACTTAAAGATGCTTTAATGTAAAATATATTGCAGTAATAAATAAACACAAACATATCTCAATGCAATAGAAATTTATTTCTTGCTTAAATAACATTCTAAGGTTTACCCAGGCTGGAAAGTATGGGGATAAGGCAGTGGATCTGCCCCCAGTTTTTATTTACAGACTTAGGCTGATGATGCATCTGCTGTCATCACTATGTGGCTTCAAAGTTTGCTGTACAAATTTACTGAGAAGTATAGAGCAATTTAAGTAGGCAGTTCTTCCGAGCCTAGACTGAAAGTGACACACATCATTCTACCTACATTCCTTTTGTTAAAACTACATTGTTTGTCTCTCCCTCATTTCAAAGGAAGTTTAGAGTTGTAATCTAGGTCTATAGCCTAAGAGGGAATGGAAAATGTACTGTGGTTGACTAGGTGGCAGTTTCTGCCATAAAGTAAAAATCAAGACTCTAAAATACCCTGAGATCATTCAGGTTGAAAAATTGCATGTACTAGAATGTAATACAACTACATATGTGTCTGTGCTCGGAGCATTTTAAACTCCACGTTCACAAGGAAACAGCCCAAACCACAGAGCAGTTGCCTCTACAGAAAAACAGAGTATAAGAAGGTCGTGTGTTTAGTCCTACCTTAGGATGAGTTCCATTTAAGAAAATTTGTTCAGCCATTCATTTCAACCTGAAGCTGCCTTTAAAAAGTCTTTAATAAACTACAAGGAACCTTCTAGTTGCAAGAGTAATTTAAGAGTTCTTAGGACATGAGTCAGTATGTGTGGGTGTATAGGAGAGCAGAAAAGGCTTAGGCACACTTATCCCATTCATGATATCAAATATAGGCCATGGGGAATTTAATGGGCCTGATTTTGGGAGTTTTCACTATACTATGCTACCACCTGTGACATAAATTTAAATCAAGGACAAGGACAGAAATCCCAGTAACTTTCTGTGTCCTCTCTTAACTTTGTAATATTTTCAGAATATGATTTCTTTGGATCTTTATCTTTTTCTAACACCTCCCATGAGCATAAACCTACCTTGCTGATGGTTAATTTCCAACATTATAATAATACACTTCACCCTCTCTTCAGAAGTGGCTGTATTAGTCTGCTCTTGTTTTGCTGTAGAGAAATACCTGAGACTGGGTAAGTTATAAAGAAAAGAGACACTAATGGAAGGCATGTATAGACATTGATTATATATGTCTTCACTAATGTCTATACATCCCTTCCTTTAGTGATTCATTAATCATATTTTTTTTTACATCTAAGTGTAATCCAGTAGCCTTATTTCTGTGGCCCCATGTTCATCGAAAGCATAGCTTTAAGCCCTCCATGTTCACATTTACCTATTTAATTAGTTAGCAGTTACAGACTTATGGTCAGAAAGATCAGAGAATTGAAGTATATGTGATAGAATATATCCTGCTGACAAACAACGAATTTGCCTACTTTGTTATTGCCAAGAACACACACAACTCACTATACTTCTCTATCAGAAATGTCCTTTTAATGGCTCCAGTGGTTTTCACTCCCACTAACACTCTACATTGGTGTTGTTACTGTCAGAAGTTGAACAAATATCATAAGACTCTCTGGTGGAACTTGCAGATTCAGTGTGGAGAGATCCAAAGTTGTACAAGCATTATGTAACCATGATCAGGCCAAAGGGGTGATCATCCAGGAGGATCATCACCCCTTTGACTCTCTAAACATACCATGTTGCCAGAATTCAACTACTCAAAGTTAAGTAGGGCATCGAGGTTGAGCCATGTGATTCCTGTTGTATCTGTCCAGATATGAATCTGTGCTATATTTCATTGCCTCTTACTAAGCTTCCACCATCTACTCTTTTACCCATTCATTTGCCCATTTACTCAAAACAGAAAATTCGAATATTTCATACAAGATGTGATTGACTTCCAAAGATGTCATAATCAGTTTTAGTGAAAGTCCAATAAGTTCAGCCCGATTCAGGCAACATAAACAATTCTGAGAATTCCTCTTTCTTTGAGATGAGCCAGAGACTCTGGCACCTCAGATGAAGGGACTTAGGGTGGTGTTTACATTAATTTGGCCTTAATAGATTAAGAATAAATTAATTTAAATTATTTAGCGTGAATATCTCCTTTCTAGCTGGGAAAACATTCAAAGATGTCTATGCAAGATTTATATTCTCTCTAGATCATAACCTCTGTGGATTTTCTTTCTAAGCTTTACCTGGCTCTTTCTTACCTGACTGGCACTATTGGTCCTTCTTTTTAAGTAAATTTGTTCCTTTCCATTATAGCTTTAGACCCAGTGTTTCAGGTGTTGTTTGTTTGTTTGTTTGTTTGTTCCAATTTGAAATTGCTTCATTTATATGGTAGATCTTTGTTCACTTCCATAACAGACTCTGGCTCTAGACCCTCCAAATTGTCTGGCCGTTAAACCAGATGGCTTGCCACTTGGTGTAAAATATAAGGTTAAACTTTCCCTTTTAGGTGTCTATGCAAATGCACAAAGACCAGCACAGGTTTTCATAGTGCCAGTAACTAAAAATATTCTTTACAGTCTGCATGACCCCAGGAGAAATTTCCATGACCAAAGTAAAGGAGCCCTAAGGCAGATTATCAGGGCTAGACAGGAACAAAGAGGGACATTTCCATCCAGTCCCACTGTGTGCTTGTGTCAAAAACTTGCTGTCTTAACAGAGAAGATTCTGTGCGCACCTCTCTACTATGCCAAAGATACTTTCTGAGCTGGACAGCACCACTACACACCATTATTCCCATCAGAACCTCTCCTTTTATCTCTACTTTGAGACTATTTTTTTTAAGAGTACATCTGAGTCAATCACAAAGAGGTACAGGTAAGGCAACATTTCCTTCTATTGTGATAATTTAGCAGTAGGAAAGCCTAGCAGTAGGGACAAATTTGAATGCAATGCACTCTGAAATAGCAATTTTTTCCAAGAAAGGAAGGACTACAGAACTTTTAAAGATAAGAGTGAATTATTTGAAATAATTCTATGTGGTCAGATGATGAGGCAGTGGGAGAGGGAGACCTCTCTTCAGTCCAGTGGTACATACAAAAGAGATGATATTTCACGGTGGTCAAGTGCGTAGGCATGGCTCCTTAATAATTGTATTGCCTTAGGCAGGTTACTTAACCTCACTGTACCTCAGTTTCCCCATATATTTTTTTGTGAGGCTTAAATGAGTGAAATCACCTAAAGCTCTTAGAATGGTTTAACAGAAAACCAAACACTGCATGTTCTCACTCATAAGCGGGAGTTGAACAATGAGAACACATGGACACAGGGAGGGGAACATTACACAGTGGGGCCTGTTGGGTGGTGGGGGGCTAGAGGAGGAATAGCATTAGGAGAAATACCTAATGTAGATGACGGGTTGATGGATGCTGCAAACCACCATGGTATGTGTATACCTATATAACAAACCTGCACATTCTGCACATGTATCCCAGAACTTAATGTAAAATAATAATAATAATAATAATAATAAACAATGGTTCCTGGCACAGAGTAATCATTCAGCATCTGTCACTTATTGACATTAGATAATTAGTAACTGGACACCAGAAATCCATGTGGGAAAAGAGCCAGACTTCTGAATTAATAACTTAACATAGACACTAACAGCACTTGCATGGGCTGTGAGGCTGTGTTCAGCTGCTCTTGTCTTGTGTTGCTATAGAGGAAGACCACAGACGGGGTAATTTGTAAAGAAAAGAGGAGTTGTTTTTTGTTTTTGTTTTTGTTTTTGAGACGGAGTCAAGCTCCTGTCGCCCAGGCAGGAGTACAGGGAGCGATCTCTGCTTACTGCAAACTCCGCCTCCTAGGTTCAAGTGAT